>NW_025791762.1:166860-333720 GCF_000001405.40 Homo sapiens
AGAACTTAAAGTATAATAATAAAAAAATTAAGCTGCCAGAATATGCTAGTGTGATTTTTCTGACCAATGTGGTACATTTATTTCTATTTTATACAACAGAACATAACAATACTATTTTGATTGTAGAAAATCTTCACTGTTACCACCTTGCTGACATGACACATTTTTGAACAACTAAGATGTGCATGAGGTTAAGACTTATTCAGAATCACAACTCTCAGTATTAATGCCTCATTTCATCCTGGGGTAGAACATGGGCATTGACTATAATGTTTCCGTTTTTCTTGCTTTGCTTCTGAGTGCTGAGTGTCTTCTGGATACTCAAATGTCTTTTCATTTAAGTTGAATAGAGAAAGATTGAGGGGTTCTAGAATTAAAAACTTAAACTACATAGAAATATCAAGGATACTTTAATTATATGGTCACCTGGAGGCTGGGAAAAAGTGTAGGATGATGCAGACACCTCTCCGTCTTAACAATAATCCTACCTCATTTCATTTGTGGGTCAACAGCGGATTGACTGACCTGAGATCATTTTCCCTCAACTGCAAAAATATACAGTTTATAAAAACCAGGTCTTCAGAAAATAGAGCTTAATATCAATAAGGCTGTAAAGAAAAAATTCCTAGAAAACATCAGAGCCCAACAATGTGCTGGGATTGTATGTCACAAGGCTAGTACCAGTTGCGGTCATTAATGTTGGGGTACCTGGAAAGGACAATACTTGGGGGGATGGGGGCCTTATAAAGCTTAGTAGGTTTGCTTGTCTTAGAAAATGTTGTTTTTGGTTGTTGTTGTTTTGGTTTGGTTTGGTTTATTTGGTTTTTTTTTTTTTTTTTTTTTTGAGAAGGAGTCTCGCTCTTTTCCCCCAGGCTGGAGTGCAATGGTGTGATCTCGGCTCACTGCAACCTCTGCCTCCCAGGTTCAAGCAATTCTCCTGCCTCAGCCTTCTGAGTAGCTGGGATTATAGGTGCCTGCCACCACGCCTGGCTAATCTTTGTACTTTTAGTAGACACGGGGTTTCACCATGTTGGCCAGGCTAGTCTCAAACTACTGACCACAGGTGATCCACCCGTCTCAGCCTCCCAAAGTGCTGGGATTTCAGGCATGAGAAAATGTTGGTAACATGCATGCAAGAAATTTTAATATTCTATAGATGGCTTGCCTCTGCTGTTCTTACTTACACCTGTGTTCCACTGTTTTATCTTCTCATTCCAATTTTACTTGTGAAAATAGCAATAATTATATTCATTCTAAATTCTCAGGCTATTATGAGGGTAAACAAAAATATTCACAACTGCATTTAAGATCTTTGATAAAACAAAATGAGCCAAAAACCTAAGGCATTCCTATTTTGAAACAAAACAACAAGGGAGCATCATACATCTGTGTAGGTAATAGTTGGTTTTAAAATGTCATTTCTGGCCAGGTGTGGTGGCTCAAACCTATAATCCCAGCACTTTGAGAGGCCAAGGAAGGAGGATCGCTTGAGTCCAGGAGTTTGAGACCAGCCTGGGCAACATAATAAGACCCTGTCTCTACAAAAAAAGTTTTTAAAACTTAGCTGGGCATGGTGGCATGCACCTGTAGTCCTACTCAGGAGGCTGAGGCAGGAGGATTGCTTGAGCCTTGGAGTTGAAGGCTGCAGTGAGCTGTGATTCTGCCACCCTACTCTAGCCTGGGTGAAAGAGCAAGACCCTGTCTCAAAATAAATGAATGAATGAATGAATGAATTAATTAATTAATAAAACAAATAAAAATAAATTATTATTTATAATACAGCCAAAGAGACCATCTGCTAGCTCATTCAGCCAGTTCCTAGGTTCAGACAGGAGATTATGTAAACACGCACATGCACCGATTGGGCAAAGCCTTTCTCAGGACTTTCACTCAATTCAGGGTTGCTGCTGTTGTTTGTTCTCAGTATGTTTTTAAACAGTAAATAAGTTACCATGGATAAAAAACACTATATAAACCAAAATACATGTCTGAAATTAATCCAAATGTTCTTCAGTATACTCAAGAAGATGTTTTGACCCATGGGTCTCAAATTCTAAACTCGAATTGCTTCAGAAGAAGCATAAAGTCATTGAAAATTTCAGAAAGCAATATGTATATGTCTATGTGTGTACATGCATAGACACATACACAATTTCTTCTAAAGATTACTATCAATTTTGGGGTTTCAAACTTATTGAATCAACATGATTATATCATTAATAGTTTCATTATTTATGTATTTATGGAATGAAATACTAAGAAGCATATGTATTTCCCCTCCCCTGACCCTCCAATTTTCTTATTCAACAAGTTGGCAAGCCTAGTGGTTTATGAGGAAATCTGTTAGAGAGTAAGTAGTGGACACACTGTCTTATGATAACATTTGTTATCTCTTTCTCTAGTCTAAATTATATAATTCACTTGATTGTTTTAGTTATCAAGTTGTATTTGTTCATCTATCTGTCTCCCCACTGGACAGTGAGTCCAGGAGAGCAGGGATTATGATTTTTATCTCTGTGTCCAATCACTTTTCTGCCCCGAGGAGCCAGCTGCCTTATTCAGTAAATGGATGCTCTTCCACATGGTAATCTTAATTGGTCAATTTCTGTTCTATATAAGGTTTTGGGAAACAAAGATGGACAAATAATGAGACAGAGTGGATGAAAGGAAGATGAGGTTATAGGGAGAATGTGAGAAAGGAAGGAAGGGGGTATCTTCACAGAGCAGGAAGCAAAATTGGAAGTCAAAGTGTGCAGTTGCAGTGGTGGAAAGTGTTGACCAACCTCGGTTTGGTGAAGGTGGCGTCAAATCAATTTAAACTTTTCACGGGGAAGCAGGGTATTTCTGAGCCTAATGGTTATGGAGAATTGGCCTCTGTATTTCCCTCCAGACTTTCACGGACTACTCAGCCTAGAGCAAACATGATCCAGATGCCGAATGGACTGCCAATGTGAAAATTATTTGATTTGATTAAGAAACAATTTAATCTTACTCTGGTTTGTATTTAAAGCCTGCTAATATCAAAGCACACAGAATTTTCATTTTTATATCAGCAACTTAGATGCCATTTAGAAGCTGTGCCATCCTGAAATTAAAAGCACAAGTTGTAGAGTCAGCTTTCCCCATTCCCTTAGAAGAGATCAGCTTTTTTGGTGTTAACAATGTGTTCTATAGCAGGAAGGCAAGACTACTGTCCAACGTCTGACCTCCTTTCATATCTCCTGGAGGACTGTGATGAGGGCCACTGCTGCTGGCTGTGGGGGTCTCCATTCCCCTGCCTGTCACCTCTGCACCCTCAGTGCACACACAACCTTTCCTTTTTTACATGGCAGACTAGCTGTGTCTTCTGGTGGCCACGTAGATTCAGAAGTGTGGGTTTTAGTAGGTACAGATCTACTAGGAACTTCCATTCAATTAAAGTTTCTAAGAACTGAAAGACAACAGGAGGTGAGGAAGGCAGGAGAAAGAGGAAGCATGGGGTATTAGAAGATAAGTGATCCTCATTTCAAATGAAGACTGCTTAATGAAAAATCTCTTTAAGGCACTATTTCCCAAACTTGCCTGTTCACCAATGTGAATTACACAAGGCCCCTGGGAAAAATCCAGACTCCTGGGTGCCATTTTAGAACCACTAAATACATCTGCAGAGGTAAGAGCCTGGATAATCTGTATTTTCAGTATGCCCTGGAAATTCCAGCAGTCAGGCAAATTAGGGAATCCCTAATTTAAAGAAGTCCACTCCATCAACTTAAGTCATTAAGATTTGAATAGATCAGGATTAGCTCTCAAAAACGCATTGCTTCTTGAGTAAACATTTCAACAGCATTGAATTTTAAAAGAATTAAATCCCCTGAGGGTGGAGCCAAGATGGCCGAATATGAAGAGCTCCGGTCTACAGCTCCCAGCGTGAGCGATGCAGAAGATGGGTGATTTCTGCATTTCCATCTGAGGTACCGGGTTCATCTCACTAGGGAGTGCCAGACAGTGGGTGCAGGACAGTGGGTGCAGCACACTGTGCATGACCCAAAGCAGGGCGAGGGATTGCCTCACTCAAGAAGCGCAAGGGGTCAGGGAGTTCCCTTTCCTAGTCAAAGAAAGGGGTGACAGACAGCACCTGGAAAATTGGGTCACTCCCACCCTAATACTGCGCTTTTCCAACAGGCTCAAAAATTGCACACCAGGAGATTATATCCCGCACATGGCTTGGAGGGTCCTACGCCCACAGAGTCTGGCTGATTGCTAGCACAGTAGTCTGAGATCAAACTGCAAGGCAGCAGCGAGGCTGGGGGAGAGGCGCCTGCCATTGCCCAGGCTTGATTAGGTAAACAAAGTGGCAGGGAAGCTCAAACGGGGTGGAGCCCACCACAGCTCAAGGAGGCCTGCCTGCCTCTGTAGGCTCCACCTCTGGGGGCGGGGTACAGACAAACAAAAAGACAGCAGTAACCTCTGAAGACTTAAATGTCCCTGTCTGACAGCTTTGAAGAGAGTAGTGGTTCTCCCAGCACACAGCTGGAGATCTGAGAACAGGCAGACTGCCTCCTCAAGTGGGTCCTTGACCCCCAAGCAGCCTAACTGGGAGGCACCCCCCAGTAGGGGCAGACTGACACCTCACACGGCCGGGTACTTCTCTGAGATAAGACTTCCAGAGGGACAATCAGGCAGCAGCATTTGCGGTTCACCAAGATCCGCTGTTCTACAGCCACTGCTCTTCTACAGCCACCACTGTTCTGCAGTCACTGCTGCTGATACCCAGGCAAACAGGGTCTGGAGTGGACTTCTAGCAAACTCCAACAGACCTGCAGCTGAGGGTCCTGTCTGTTAGAAGGAAAACTAACAAACAGAAAGGACATCCACACCAAAAACCCTTCTGTACATCACCATCATCAAGGACCAAAAGTAGATAAAACCACAAAGACAGGGAAAAAACAGCAGAAAAACTGGAAACTCTAAAAAGCAGAGCACCTCTCCTCCTCCAAAGGAATGCAGCTCCTCACCAGCAACGGAACAAAGCTGGATGGAGAATGACTTTGACAAGCTGAGAGAAGAAGGCTTCAGACAATCAAACTACTCCAAGCTACAGGAGGAAATTCAAACCAATGGCAAAGAAGTTAAAAACTGTGAAAAAAAATTAGACAAATCGATAACTAGAATAACCAATGCAGAGAAGTCCTTAAAGGAGCTGATGGAGCTGAAAGTCAAGGCTCGAGAACTACGTGAAGAATGCAGAAGCCTCAGGAGCCGATGCGATCAGCTGGAATAAAGGGTATCAGTGATGGAAGACAAAATGAATGAAATGAAGCGAGAAGGGAAGTTTAGAGAAAAAAGAATAAAAAAACAAACAAAACCTCTAAGAAATATTGGACTATGTGAAAAGACCAAATCTACATCTGATTGGTGTACCTGAAAGTGACGGGGAGAATGGAACCAAGTTGGAAAACACTCTGCAGGATATTATCCAGGAGAACTTCCCCAATCTAGCAAGGCAGGCCAACATTCAGATTCAGGAAATACAGAGAATGCCACAAAGATACTCCTCGAGCAGAGCAACTCCCAGACACATAATTGTCAGATTCACCAAAGTTGAAATGGAGGAAAAAATGTTAAGGGCACCCAGAGAGAAAGGTTGGGTTACCCACAAAGGGAAGCCCATCAGACTAACAGTGGGTCTCTCGGCAGAAACTCTACAAGCCAGAAGAGAGTGGAGGCCAATATTCAACATTCTTAAAGAAAAGAATTTTCGACCCAGAATTTCATATCCAGCCAAACTAAGCTTCATAAGTGAAGGAGAAATAAAATCCTTTAAAGACAAGCAAATGCTGAGAGATTTTGTCACTATCAGGCTTGCCCTAAAAGAGCTCCTGAAGGAAGCACTAAACATGGAAAGGAAGAACTGGTACCAGCCACTGCAAAAACATTCCAAAATGTAAAGACCATCAAGGCTGGGAAGAAACTGCATCAACTAACGAGCAAAATAACCAGCTAACATCATAATGACAGGACCAAATACACATATAACAATATTAACTTTAAATGTAAATGGGCTAAATGCTCCAATTAAAAGACACAGACTGGCAAATTGGATAAAGAGTCAAGACCCATCAGTGTGCTGTATTCAGGAAACCCATCTCACATGCAGAGACACACATAGGCTCAAAATAAAGGGATGGAGGAAGATCTACCAAGCAAATGGAAAACAAAAATGGGCAGGAGTTGCAATCCTAGTCTTTGATAAAACAGACTTTAAACCAACAAAGATCAAAAGAGACAAAGAAGGCCATTACATAATGGTAAAGGGATCAATTCAACAAGAAGAGCTAACTATCCTAAATATATCTGCACTCAATACAGGAGCACCCAGATTCATAAAGCAAGTCCTTAGTGATCTACAAAGAGATGTAGAATCCCACACAATAATAATGGGAGACTTTAACACCCCACTGTCAACATTAGACAGATCAATGAGACAGAAAGTTAAGAAGGATACCCAGGAATTGAACTCAGCTCTGCACCAAGCGGATCTAATAGACATCTACAGAACTCTATACCCCAAATCAACAGAATATACATTTTTTTCAGCACCACACCACACCTATTCCAAAATTGACCACATAGTTAGAAGTAAAGCACTCCTCAGCAAATGTAGAAGAACAGAAATTATAACAAACTGTCTCTCAGACCACAGTGCAATCAAACTAGAACTCAGCATTAAGAAACTCACTCAAAACCACTCAACTACATGGAAACTGAACAACCTGCTCCTGAATGACTACTGAGTACATAACGAAATGAAGGCAGAAATAAAGATGTTCTTGAAACCAAGGAGAACAAAGACACAACATACCAGAATCTCTGGGACACATTCAAAGCAGTGTGTAGAGGGAAATTTATAGCACTAAATGCCCACGAGAGAAAGCAGGAAAGATCCAGAATTGACACCCTAAAGTCACAATTAAAAGAACTAGATAAGCAAGAGCAAACACATTCAAAAGCTAGCAGAAGGCAAGAAATAACTAAAATCAGAGCAGAACTGAAGGAAATAGAGACACAAAAAACCCTTCAAAAAATTAATGAATCCAGGAGCTGGTTTTTCTAAAAGATCAACAAAATTGACAGACCGCTAGCAAGACTAATAAAGAAGAAAAGAGACAAGAATCAAATAGACACAATAGTCATTGATATTTTGATAAGGATTGCATTGAATCTGTAGATTGCTTTGGGTGGTAGTATCTACATTTTATCAATATTGATTCTTCCAATCCATGAACCTGAAATACTTTTCCAGTTTTTGGTGTCCTATTCAATTTCTTTCATCAGTGTATTATAGTTTTTATTATAGAAATCTTTCACTTCTTTGGTCAAGTTAATTCCTAGGTATTTAACTCTATGTGTGGCTATTTTAAAGGGTGTTACTTTAAAAAAAATTCTTTTTAATGTCCTTGATTCTTGTTCACTGAAAAGACTCAAATTTTGCTTATTGAATTAAAATTAATTCTTGTAAGAACAGTAACAGAACTATTACTACAATAGAATGGAAGCCTGATTCTTGAAGTTTGTATGACTGTGATGAGAGTTCGCAGGTAGCAACTGCTAAATGAGGACACAAAGCGTTCCCTAAATCCTCTGTATTAACTGCCAATGAGAGCTTCATTTCTCCCATCTTTATAGCAGACCCTCTATTTTTATAATAATGACAAGACTGAAGGGACAAGATGAAATGGTGCAAATGGATCCTGGATAAGCGCCAGTTCTTCTAAAAGGTTTTTTATTTTTGCTAATGTGAAAGATTAAATTTAGAAAAATATGAAGTCAAAATGAATAAATAAAAAACATAATTTCAAAAATTTCATTGAAAGCCCATCAATTAAGAACAATATAATTAGTTTAAAATCTAAGAGCTTATCTTGTTTCTTCCCATTGCATAAACTTATTTTCTCTACTTGACAGCATAAGACTGAGAAGGTAAAGAGTTGAATAACTGCTAACCATCATCAAAACTCAAGCAGAGGGATTGTTTTTTAACCATTTTAGGAAACCTTGTTCTTGACACATTTATGTGATCACTGAAAGATACAGCTGAAAGGTGATCTAAGCATTTCAAATTATAACAAAACTATACATTTCTCTTGGAAACTGACAGTGTTCCATTGATTTTCCATTACACAGGCAAGTATTCTGTGTCTTAATTTGTTTTTAAACATGAGATACTATTCAAATTATATGAACAGTTACTTGTAGCCCAGAGGCAAGAGAGAAACTGCAAACTCTAAGTAAGGAAATTCAGCAGATGAGAAAAACAGAAAGAGAAATTCTTTGGTTTAAATAAACTCCTTGCGGGCCAGGTGTGGTGGCTCACGCCTGTAATCCCAGCACTTTGAGAGGCTGAGGTGGGAGGATCACAAGGTCAGGAGTTTGAGACCAGCTTGGCCAACAAAGTGAAACCCAGTATCTACTAAAAATACAAAAATTAGCCAGGCATGGTGGCACATGCCTGTAATTCCAGCTACTTGGGAGGCTGAGGCAGGAGAATCGCTCAAACCCAGGAGGTGGAGGTTGCAGTGAGCCAAGATTATGCCACTGCACTCCAGCTTGGGCAACAGAGTGAGACTTCATCTCAAAAAAATTAAATAAATAAAATAAAAAATAAAAAAATGAACTCCTCATGTGTGACTTCTGTAGTCAGACACTAACACTGTATTTTTATTAGAAGCAGGAATTGGGGTGGGGGCATTAAATTTATATGATGTTTTTGAAACAATTCAGAGGCCTTTAATGTGGTCTCTTACAATCAACAAGTTAGCCACATGACCTCATTTTGGAAATATCCACAGGAGATTTGGCCTGTAATTCCTTGGGCTCACTGAAGGTAATCAAATCTTTTCCAGTCATAAGAATCTTTGATCTTTAATTATTTTACTAAGTCTTGCTCTTCAAAAATAACTGTATTATTTAGTCCCATTAACCCACCAAGACCTGCTTTACATATATATGTAAAAGAAATTATATATATATATATATATATATATATATATATATATATATATATATATATATGTATGTATATGTATATTTGTCAAAGAAAAGAGTAAGGTCCCTTAAACTAAGGGGCAGTCTCTGTGGAATATTTGGTGTCCCAAGGTGAAAGAGACACTGTAACGTTTTATAGAAAATTTGTAGAGTGCTGAGTAAAAGCAAATAAATGAATTCTACAAATTAGCTCTAAGTTGAGAACAATTAAACACAAATAAGTACATTCTAATTTAAGCAAAAACCATTATACCCAATGTACAGATTAACAAAAATTCACAAAATGTTAAAATTTTTGCTAGTTCACTAGTAACTCCCATAAGATGTAAAGATTAGTCTACATGTTTTTAATGTTTTAGCAAAGGATCATTTCTATAACTCCATAAGGCAGCATGGTATAGTAGTATGGCCGTCAAACTTCGGCATATAGCAGGGTTGCCTAGGAAGTTGCTCAAACAAACATATGTCCTGACCCTGGAGATTCTCATTCAGCAGTTATTGGTCAAAGCTTGGGCATTTAGCTTTACTTTGAACACACTCTCTGGTAATTCTGATACACTCTGTAGTTGAGAACCATCGGTGTATTGGAAAGAACTCAGGCCCTTTGGAGTCATGAAAGACTGGATTTGAATTCTGATTCTGCCATTTATTTGCTATGTGACTGGGGCAAGTTATTTACCTCTCTGCACCATCATGTCTAAAATGCCAATCATGTGACTAACTTATCACGTGATCGCAGAGAAGTAGGATTAAGCACATATTATGCTGTTCTTATAGACAATTTTGCATTTAACAAAATTTTACTTCACTTTGCGTAATAATCTATAATAAATGCTAAATGCAGCACAATGTTTGATTCACCATCTTGTTATGCTTTCTTCCCACACCAAAGGTCAATTTCACAGAGTTCTTTAATAATTCTTTCTTGCAGCTGGGCAGGAATGGAACCAGGGTGGCTAGGAAGTTGAACAACCTTAAGATTATTTCTGCTCTCCAACAGAATTGGTGGTGTCTCTACATTATTCATGCTAGATGATGGAAGAAGTGTTGATACTAAGAAGTGACAAGCAATAGTTTCCCCTTCTTCATGATATTGTCATGGAGGAAGAAATTTCCTAGGAGAGGCAATAAACTACAGTAGAGAAAGTATGGGCTTTAGAGATTAGAGACCGGCATTCCAATTTTGTATATAACTGGGCATAAATTACATAACCTTGGATAGAGGACAGCTTTCATGAACTAATATCTCATCTGTGATATAGGAATGGGCACACTACAGAGATTTCTGAGGATTAGAGTAATGAAGTCAGATGTTTGTCTTAGTGCCTACCACATTGTAGGTCCCTAATAACAGGAAAATCCCCTTTCTACTTTCACAGCAGTACTCCATTTCCAAAAGCTGCTGATCAGAAAGCTGTGTCGTGTGTGTGTGTGTGTGTGTGTGTGTGTGTGTGTGTGTATGTGTGTGTTGGGCCATGCCAAGTTTTCCAATTCTATCCTGTGATCCAGAGTGTATGCCAAAATCATGTTGAACCTCGTGGCTTTTGAATAAAATAACTATGGGAAATTTGAAGCTTTTAAGAAAAAGATGGTGTGATTGGAAGAGATTTTTAAGAAAAGGAAAGAAGCTGGACATGTAAAACCATGCTGGTGATTGAATTAATTAGTGAATGATAGTGTGAAAGAAGGTAAGAAAGAAATTGAGAAAATAAATTGCTTCTATTTCTGGAACTGTTAGTGTATCCCCAGGACTACATTTCTTTCTTTCCTCCTTCTTCCTTCCTTTCTCCTTCCTTCCTTCCTCCCTCCCCCCCTTCCTTCCTTCCCCTGTAACTGGCCCACAGGGGAGAGGTTGAACATGCTTCAGCTGATCTGACTTGAGTAACAGGAAAACTGAAAACTAGTTACACTAGAGGCCTCTTGCTTTTTGTGGGATAATTTCTCAGGAAAAATTAAAAAAAAAAGTAATGAACACAATTGGCTTTGGAAGTTTCAATGCAAATATTTATAATTTTGGAAGTTTCCAAATGCCTTTCCAAATGTTCCCAATTGCCTTTGCCTTATATAGAGATTTAACAGAATCATTAATGTCAATCAGAAACTCATTTTTGAAAGTTGAGAAAAAGCAGCTTTCACACAGGGAAGCCTGGGGCAAGCATAAACACATTACTTTTCTTTCCTACAAAAGAGTCTAAAAATTATCAAGGAACTCGTAAAATAAAATTAGCACTTCTATTGTGTGCTTCTTTAATAATCAACAATGTTGCTCGCAGTCCCAGCGCTCCGAACGACGGTGCCTCCGGTTGACAGCAACCTGAGCGGACCCGCGCCTAGGCCCTCCGCCAGGCCTGCGCTGCCTCGCCCCGGGAGAGGAAGACTGAGCCCGGCTCAGGCGGCTGGAGCGCGCGGGCCCGTTTCCTTTCAGCGATCAGTCCCCTGGCGTCCCAGCAGCGCCTTCCCCGCGATCGCGCGTCCCCAGCGCACGTCGCGGCTGCCAGCTGCTGCCCTGACCGCCGGCCCAGACGTGCCCGCGGACGCCGCTGACAGCGCCTGTGCCATGGGGCTGCCTACTCTGGAGTTCAGCGATTCCTACTTGGACAGCCCGGATTTCAGGGAGCGCTTGCAGTGTCAGGAGATTGAACTGGAGCGAACCAACAAGTTCATCAAGGAGCTCATTAAGGAGGGCTCTCCGCTCACTGGGGCGTTGAGGACAGGTAATGTTGATTGCCTACCCAGTTCCCTTACCCTTTCACCCTTTCCAAAGGAACACACCTCTACCCAGGTTGGGGATCTGTCTATGGCAGTGCAGAAATTTTCCCAGTCATTACAAGATTTCCAATTTGAATGTATTGATAATGCTCAAACAGATGATGAAATTAGTATTACTCAGTCACTAAAAGAATTTGCAAGGCTACTCATTGCAGTAGAAGAAGAAAGGCGAAGACTGATCCAAAACGCTAATGATGTATTAATTGCACCACTTGAGAAATTTCGAAAAGAACAGATTGGTGCAGCAAAAGGTGGAAAGAAGTTTGACAAAGAGTGAAAAATATTACTCTATCCTTGAAAAGCATTTAAATTTATCTGCAAAGAAAAAGGAGTCTCATTTGCAAGAGGCAGATACACAAATTGATCGAGCACATCAGAACTTCTATGAAGCATCATTAGAATGTCTTTAAATGGCTCACGCCTGTAATCCCAGCACTCTGGGAGGCCGAGGCGGGTGGATCACCTGAGGTCAGGAGTTCGAGACCAGCCTGACCAACATGGAGAAATCCCGTCTCTACTAAAAATACAAAATTAGCCAGGTGTGGTGGCACATGCCTGTAAAGCCAGCTACTCGGGAGGCTGAGGCAGGAGAATCGCTTGGACCCAGGAGGCAGAGGTTGCAGTGAGCCAAGGCTATGCCATTGCACTCCAGCCTGGGCAACAAGAGCAAAACTCCGTCTCAAAATAAATGAATAAACAAATAAATAAAAATAAATAAAAGAAAAAAGAATGTCTTTAAAATTCAAGCGGTTCAAGAAAAAAAGTTTGAATTTGTTGAACCGCTTTTGTCATTTCTTCAGGGTTTATTTACTTTTTTACCATGAGGGATATGAACTTGCCCAGGATTTGCACCGCATAAGCAACAGCTGCAGTTCGACTTGCAGAATACAAGGAATAATTTTGAAAGTACTCGACAAGACGTAGAGGGGTTGATGCAGAGGATGAAATCTGCCAACCAGGACTACAGACCACCCAGCCAGTGGACGATGGAAGGCTATCCGTATGTCCAGGAGAAACGACCGCTTGGTTTTATGTGGATTAAACAGCCTTGTTACTAGCTCACCGGAAATGTTCAAAATCTTGTATCCGACGAAAGACAGATTCAATTGACAACCACTTCTGCTTCGACATACAAGTAGTTGAAAGGCATGGGATCATCACATTACAGGCCTTCTCAGACGCTAATAGGAAACTCTGGCTTGAAGCCATGGATGGGAAGGAAACGATTTATACTCTGCCTGACATTATAAGCAAGAAAGAAGAAAGGTATTTGAATGAAGCAGGGTTCAATTTTGTGAGAAACTGCATTCAAGCTGTGGAAACAAGCAGTATCACCGTTTTAGGCCTCTACTGAATAGGAGGAGTGAACTCCAAAGTTCAAAAACTTGTGAATATCATATTTTCTCCTAAATCCCCTCCTGATATTGATATTGAACTGTGGGACAATAAGACAATGAGTGGGCTGAAAAACTACCTCAGGTGCTTTGCAGCACCACTGATGACTTACAAGTTACACAAAGATTTGTATCATTGCTGTTAAATCTGATGACCAAAACTACAGGGTGGAGGCTGTACATGCATTGGTGTGCAAATTGCCAGAGAAAAACAGAGAGATGCTGGACATCTTAATAAAACATCTGGTCAAAGTATCACTGCACAGCCAACAAAATCTCATGACTGTCTCAAATCTTGGTGTCATATTTGGCCCAACTCTAATGAGAGCACAAGAATAAACTGTAGCTGCTATGGTGAATATTAAATTTCAGAATATTGTGTTAGAAATTCTTACAGAGCACGATGAAACGATTTTTCATACTGCTCCAGACCCAAGCACTCCTCTTCCTCAGCCTCAGTCTCGATCTGGATCCCAAAAGACACAAGCAATCTGCCTCTCTACAGGCTCTAGGAAGTCCAGAGGGACGGGTACTCCATGCCTGGCTGAACCTGATAGTGACTCCTACAGCAGCAGCCCAGACAGCACCCCCATGGGGAGCAACAAGTCACTCTCTTCTCTTTCCTCAGAACAAAATAGCACTACAAAGTCAGCTTCCTGCCAGCCCAGGGAGAAATCTGGAGGGATTCCTTGGATTGCAACCCCGTCATCTTCCCATGGACAGAAAAGCCTTGGTCTCTGGACAACCAGTCCTGAATCAATTTCTAGAGAAGATGCAACAAAGACAGATGCAGAATCAGATTGCCAGAGTGTTGTTTCGGTCACTAGCCCAGGGGATGTTTCCCCACCCATAGACCTAGTCAAGAAAGGGCCTTATGGACTTTCAGGACTGAAAAGAGCTTCTGCTTCTTCTCTCAGATCCATCTCTGCAGCTGAAGGAAACACCAGCTACAGTGGATATATTCAAAGCTTAGCTTCTGTAGGTTCCAAGGAGACACCCAAAGCTTCAAACCCAGACCTGCCTCCAAAAATGTGCAGGAGGTTAAGACTAGACACCGCCTCAAGCAATGGCTATCAGCGTCCTGGCTCAGTAGTGGCAGCAAAAGCTCAACTGTTTGAAAATGTTGGTTCACCTAAGCCAGTTTCTTCTGGGCACCAAGCCAAAGCCATGTACTCCTGTAAAGCAGAGCACAGCATGAGTTTTCCTTCCCACAAGGAGTGATATTTTCCAGCGTGGCCCATCAGTGGAACCAGGATGGTTAAAGGCAACTTATGAAGGCAAAACGGGACTAGTTCCAGAAAATTATGTTGTCTTCCTCTACTACTATTTAGTGGATGGCAGTATCTTCATGGTATCCATGGTAACAAATAATAAGTGCTATGATTTTATCTGACACAGATACAAGGGGATCAGCCCACTAACTGAAAACAGTCAATTTCTATCAAGTTCTTCACCAGCAGACTATGTAGCTCCTTATTAATGGAAAAAAAAGGTTTAAAAGGTTGGCCATTCTTTTTTGGTTGGTTTATTTTAAAATTTCTTGTTTCTGAAAAATTTATTTTTGGATAATACGTAACTCTCCAGAATGTCTCTTCCATAGCAATTGTAGAGTTTCAAATACCGTATTAAGTACTATCTCCCAGAAATTTGGAAACCAGAAATCTGCTGTATGGATTTTGAGATGCGTCCTTTACTGCCTGGCATTCTCTGAGGATCTGTGAAACTGTTACTTAAAAATGTTACTGAAAAGCTAGTTACCTGCCCTTTGAGTGCCACAGTCCTGACCTGCTTGTTCTTGACACCTTACATATTACTTCAGAGTTCCCCACTGTGCAGACTCTCAGGTATTAACTGTATAAAACTCTTTACATGCTATTATAATCTGTAATCTCGATCTCTTCTACTATTTCTCTTCTACTATCTTTTCTACTGTTTCTAGAATAGGTTAAATACACATATACACCACAACTATGCCTCAGAAAAGTTATGCTTTTACAAATAAAAAGAATAGATTAGAATTAACAAGTAGGGTGAATAACAGTAGGCAGAGTCAGAATCAGAAATAAATATCAGGGGATCAAAATAAGAGAATGAAAAATATTCTGTAATAAAAATTAGCAATGTAATGTAAAAGTCTGATAAAAGATTATCTTTTTCTTTTACCTCTTTCTGTTGACCTCTGTACACTGTAATAAGGTGTTGCTGGATGGAACTTCTTGGTCTAGGTCCTTGGAGATCTTAGTAGTAATAACAGCATTCCTGACACTCTAATTACCCTCGGCTGAAACAGAAGGTAGTCTTTCAATGTACCAATCCCTTAGTCTATACTTGGTTTAAACACACTTGCCATCATCTGGTATCCTGCTAGATTAGAACCTCTTAAAAGCAAATTGGTTTTCTTTCAAAGACCAACTTGACTCCAAAGAGAGATACAGAATCCTACTTCTGCTGCTGCATAAAGAAATCTCAACCTTCATTTTACTTGAACACAGACCAAAGTGTTCCTGCTTCTGAGTTGTCTGTGAGCTAGTTCTATGGATGTTCCATTCAGATTTAAAGCTTTTTTATTGCACAGGACGTGGATATGAAGCCTAACTCTTGTATCTGATGGCAAGGCATATGTTGTAGCCACAGTGCTGGCGATGGTCCCTTTGCTGAAAGAAGCTACAGAAGCACTGATTCAAGCTGTGTTTGTGCTAGGAGTTTTAATCTTGTAGATTTGTGAGGATGGCTCTTTTTCCTTCATAATAGATTACATGTATAAGCAAGTCAGGGCCATGTACTGGAGACAGGCTAAAGCTGCTTTTCCCTTAAAGAAAGTTTCCTACAGACAAGGTATTTATGAGCATTGAGAAAGTCGGGACACGTACTCTAAATCACACAGAATGTTAATTCCACAGGAAGGCAATGCCAGACATTGGAAGAGGATCACATTCGACTTCTAATAGTAGTTCAATAACAAAACCTTAGCTTTTCAGAAACAATGTTGATACATTAGAATTGCCACATCCATACCTTCAAAACATGCAATGTGTGCACCCCAATCACTGCTTACAGTATAATCAGTATGACGATGAGATTGAGGGGGTCTAAATTTATCATCTCCTGTGTTATGTGAAAATATCCCTCAGTACAAAACATTTGTGTATTTCACAGATGACTCTTGTTTTGCCATAACGCTACAAAGTTTATGGAAACTAGTCAACTGAAGGATTTTTCTGTTGTGTGATATGTAAAGGTCTGAATAGTACAATCATCTTTGTATTCCTGCAGTGTTAAAAAGTAATAATCAACATGTCAGATTGTTGGGCTTTTCTTAGCAGATGTTTTCTAATTCAAAGTTTTTGGTTGTGTTTTTGTTTTTTAGTTCAAAGTTAATTTGTTGGCCTCTTGAAGATTAATTTGTCTAAGCTTTCTAGGAACTTCCAAACAGTGATATTCTCAAAAGGATTCAATAAACTAGTTCAAAAAATGTTCCTATCTTCTATTGCCTTAAATCTAATCATGTTCTGTGAACTGCAGTCCTAGTGTGTAACACGGCGTGATTTATCACCCAGAGTTCTCCACTGTATTTCAAAGTTGATTTACCTCAGGAAAACTGAGGGTTTATTGAGTAACTCAAATTTTTCCAGAGAAACTGGTTTGAAGTATCCAGTGCAACCTGCCAAGCTCTGTCTTTGTTTATAAACCCACTTACTGGTGACATCATTCAGGGAGTCCCTCTCTAAAAATCTTGAATTTTGTCTGGTCTTCTCGGATGAGGAATTCTGAACCTGGTACAATCTCATTCTAACTCTTCTCTTATGTACTAAGTACTTATATTATATACCTTTCTATAACTTAAGAGGAAAAGGCTGACATTTTTGGTATTCTTTCAGTGACATATTTTTCAGTGTCTAAGCTCACAATCATTCTTAATTAACTACATGATTTTTAATATAATTCCTACTACTTTGGGTTTTATTTCCCAGGTATGGACATTGTCCTTTTAATGTTTTCTTAAGGAACTATTCAGAGTACATTATTAACAACTTAAGGTCCTAAACAGATATACATGGGACATGGTTGTTGTAAAAAGAAACAAATCTGTAAGACACTAGGAAATTCAAAATGCTTTCAAGCTTTCTTTGAACTTTACTACTGAATGATTTATTTGCAACTTGTTATCTGGTATAGTGGGGAAGAGCCACTTATGTCTCTTTAAGCCAAGATATATTTAAGATAACAATAAAGATAAAATATCAGTTTCACTATCTAGATTTGATTTTGACACAATGAAAAGCTGATTGGTTCATAATCAAATGAACAAATTTTCCACAAGTAAGAGATGAAACCCCTGGCTTGGAAATCCTGGGGATTGACAGGTTGAACGTCCTTGGTCTGTGGTGAGCATGTTCACGTTTCAACACATGAGATCTGGTGTGCTTTCCGTAGCAGCTCCTCAGATTTTGAGAAAAACTAGAAGATAATTTTTTAAAAAGCAATGTTGAATACTTAGAATCGTATTTCTAATAAAAATAAGTCAAACTATTTAATTTTGATAAAGTTTCAAAACTAAACATGAACTGAACTTATACTTGATGACATAATTTTATAAATTCATGATGAATTTCTTATTCTGATTTATTTACTATTTTAAAAGATAGGTGTTTCTTTTCTTCCACTGTAAAAGTGTAATGTGTTCATTGTATTTGGAAAACGTGGAAAGTAGAAGATGACTGTTCTTATTTATTCACTTTTACAGAGGGTAATTTTTTCCACACCATAGAAGTAGAATAATCATACTTCTAATTTGAAAATTTGAAAATGTAAAAAAAAAAATTAATCCAAGATCATATCAACATTTAGGGCTAAGAGTTGAGATTATACTGAATATGGTTTTGCATTGAATATATTACAAGCCTTTTTGTGTCATTTACTATTTGATAAAACATGATTTTTAATGCCTGAATACTTTTCTAACACTTGTATGTATTGTTGTTTATTTAATCACTCCTCTATTGTGGAACATTCAAATTGGATCCAAGTTTACCATAAGTAATACTACAATAAAAATATCTATACATTATTTGTGATGTCTCTGGTTGTTTTCTTAGAGTGCCACCTTAATTATCTTTGTGAGAAAGTCCTCAAGAATCCTGCCATTAATTCAGATACTTTCCCCGCTATTGATATGTCTCTTTAAGAGTTCTGAAAATACTTAAGAAACTTAGTAAGAAGAAAGAAAATTAATCCTCTCTTCTGATTCTTCAGTTCCAATTCTCTGTGGCCACTGTATTTTTAAAAATCCTGTTGTCCAAAGCATCTCCCATTTAATTGTTTCTCTCTGACAGCAGGGAAACTGGAAGTTAGAGGTGATACCATAAAAGGAAATGAATGAAGCAGATGTATGAATTTTGATACATATAACAGATGTCTTTTGATCACACTTCCTGGGCAATATAGTAGTAATCAAAGGAAAACTGGTAACATTTTTCATTACTATGCTTTAAAGAAAAATTTCTAAGCCTCACAGAGCTGACATGGTTTATTACCTTCAGAAACACGGTAGTACTTAGCGTAAGTTAGAATCCATTCATTATTATGTGTGACTGGAGAGGTATATTGCTTAAAAACTATACCAGGCCCTACTTAGGAACAAGTTCCAACTGCATTTAAATCACTCTGTTTATGTCAAAATACTTAAAGTTAAATAGCAGAATCTAGAGGGGTCCTTGATTAACATGAGACAATAAATATTTGCAGAATCTGATGCCTACCAGAGGAAACACTAACCCAGACAGGAAAGTTCTTCAGAGTAAAAATCAAGAAGGGTGAGATTATCTATGCAATAGAAGTAAGTCTTGGCCTGGACCCAGACAAGATCATTGCACAAGAGATTGGTTTTGGAAGTAGATTTGGCTGAGATTAAAGTCTCGAGTGACATGAAGACAATGTTAAAGATAAATCCAAACTCTTCTTTATTGCTTGACACTTCTCCAATCAGCATCAACTTCATTCCTGGTAAGTTGGTGTAGTATGGTGAGTTCTGCCTTATTTCATACTTTATTTGGTTAGAATCTGGGGGAGGGGGTAAAGGTGTAGGTTGGTTATTTCAAATGTGCAGACGACCTCCACCAATTTTGCAGTATAGTGCTATTACTTAAGGGAATACACCCATAAAACTTTGATTTCCTAGTAATTCTGCTTTTGTGCATTCTTAATTTGAGACTCAGTGAGGGTGCAAGAGCTGTAGATTTGGCAAACACTGCACTATTTTCTCACATTTTTTCGATTTGCTAAAACCAGTAACAAATGTATTACCCCTTTTTTTCCTTTAATTTTTAAATCCACGGCCTTTTCACTGCCTTTACTTTCCATGTGTTGCCACTGTATCCTCCACTGAATCCCCCACATTGGGCCCAGCACTTGACACTTAGTAGGCACTCAACCAATACTTGTTGAATGAATGAGTTTAATGCACTGCAGTTTTTTTAGTTTTTAGATGATGTTGTACCTAATGCACATGCCTTCCTTCTTTCACTCCTTCATTAATCCTTTTGTTCATGTCTTTTACTTATGCCAAGCTGTCACACTGTGTTCATGAACTGACAGATTTATTTTTTCTTCCACAGCCCCAGAGCCAGCAAATGACTGACCTTAAACCTAAAACTGTAGGAGTTTGGTCAGTGTGGTGGGAAAAGTTGTAAGAAAAGGTTATAGGGAAAGACACAAACCTTCTTGGAAGAACGGGAGGTTTTGCAAAAGCTTCAAAAGAGAATTTAGCTGAAGGCAGTTAAATTCTCTTAAGAGCAAGGGTTAGATAACAAGGGAATGTAAAGAAACTTATCTAGATAAATTGTTCTACTCATATCTCTGGAAACCAACCTTTGATCATTCATGTGCAGGACTGCTCTCTACTTGGGGGGTTGACAATGTTAATTACCCACAAATTGTGTTTGCTCCAAGCCCTTGTCATTAAATCTGTACTAAATAAATGCAAGTGGGGCCAGCTTAGGGAAGCTGCACTCCTTTCGGCTGCTGCACTCTCTCATCGGCAGCACTGAGTGGTGCAGTCCCCTAGCCACACTGTCAGGAAAAATACCTGTGTCAGCGAACTCCTTTCATTCATCACTTGGCCAGTCTGCGGGACAGATCGGCATAAAACACCCATTGGTTTTCGCCTTTACTCTTGCAGAATGAGTTATAAAGCCAAAGACCTCAAGAAAAGCACACTCCTTAACAGCCAGTTCAGGGGTGACAGCCAGGGAATAAGAAAAAAGAACCTTCCAGAGGATGGAGCCACCACCAAAAATGATGGAAAAGAGGGTTCCTCCCAGAGAGCAGATTCAGAGGCTATTTAAGGAATTTCCCCATGCCCTGTGTAGGGAGCTTCTCACTACTTGCTACTCATGATTTCCTTATGGTTATACTCTAGGGACTGCTGCTTGCCTGTCTTCTCTTTCTTGCATAGCAGGTTTGTTTAATTTTATTTTTTTCTTCAATTATGGTGGTGTTTTCACTGTTCTACCATGACAAGAGGTAGAACAGAGATATTTTTTACCTCTACATGGGAGGCAGAAAATTGGCCTTTTTATTCAAGAATGCCAAACCAGAAGCTGACATATCAGAATCTGATACAGAGTACAGTCTATTCCCCTTTGGACTTTGGACCTTGGAATTTGAACTGGATGCAATAATGGTATGAGACCCTTGGGTAGGAATGAGTGTCTTGTATGTGTGGGAAAGACAGGAAGGCAGGTATTTGGTGACCTAAAAAGAAGGCCATGGCAGAACCTCATTAGTTGTTCAATAATCCTATTTTCCTTTCCTCCTGGGCACACAGCTATGTATTTTCCAGCCATCCTCATATATAGATGTAGCCCAGTAACACTTCTGAGGATGGAATATGGACAGATGTGATGGGCACTGCTGGACCTGGACCATAAAATCCTTCCACATGATGTCAGTGCCCCTTTTACCCCATTGGCAGCTGGATATTGTCATCCAGAGAGATGGATGACTTAGAAGCCACGTGCAGAAGATGGCAACCTTCCATCAGCATGGATCCTTGAGTGACTGTGGAGTGCAACGCCTTCTACCAGTTAGAACTACTGTGATTGACAATCACATTTCATTTGTATTAAGCTACTGATTTGGGGGGTTTATCTCCTTCAGCTCCCACATTAGTACAACTCATGCAGAATGGAGAGTGACTGTGAACACATGTGGCACAGGCTGCTGAAACCTAGGACTTTATAGATGAATTCCTGATTATACTCTCCTTTCTTGCAAAAAGCTTTTTTCAAATTAAATGTTATAATACAAATGTGAGTACTTAAATGTCTTTCTAATGAAATGATGACTAACTGTAGGAAAGAAAATGTAGGAATGTATACATCCTTGATAAGAGTGTGAAACTGATACAGGCAATGTAGAGAGTCTTGCTTAGGGATAATGAACAAAAGAACATACCTGGGTAAAAGAAATGAGAGGTTACTGATAACAAAACTAATATTTATATTGCACAATATAAAACATTATTTTATACTTAGGATTACATTTGATTTTTGCAAATCCCTGTGAAATAGCTATTATTATCAGATCCACTTTATGCATAATAAAAACAAGACTCATATGGGTTAGCTAACTAGGCTATGGTCTCTCCACCAAGCTCTACTTCTCTGATTGAGGAGATAGTAGTATCTAGAGCTTCAGTGTTCTTTCTACTGCCCTATGCTACCGCCCAGTGCAGATGTAAGAACAAAACCTACTAGTAAACTGCTATTGACTGTTTAGACCTTTAGCAACTTTAATTATCCAAAACATAGCTGTGAGACCAAAAAGAGGAAAACAGTTTGCAAAAGCCCACATTTATTACACCATGAAAGAGCCAGGTCTGTGAAATGTTGCCTAGAATTTGTGTACTAAACTCAGCAAAATGAATTAACAAACTCAGTGACCTCATTTTCTCCTAAATTACAGTAAATGGAAGATTTAAAAGATGAGAAAAATAAACACAGAAAACTTCAGTTAACAGGGTAGAGGATGACGCATTGAAAGATTGGGTGTCCATGTGTGGTATGTAAAGGCAGGTCCTATGAGTCTTAGGCAGGCCTAGGCACGTGTTCTCTCTTTTTGTTGTTTGATTCTCAATTTACGACAAATGAAGAACGAGGCCTTTACCTGGTCTGGATCGACTTGTTATGGAGCCCATGTGAAATGAAAATGATTCATAAACAAAACTGATTCCATCCCCAGCAACAGCAGAGATGACCATGAACAATTAGCCACCTGAGAATCCTCAACAATTCTTGGGGAATTCATTAATTACATTTTATTAAAGGGCAGGGATATCCAAGGTGACATATGGGTTACAAAGGCAAAGTATAATTTCTTTATGGGTTTTGTTAATGTGAAATATAAATTAATAAGCTTTTTGATTTTACTAATACAAACATACCCATCAATTGGTCTTCTTCAATTCAGAAATAACTAGAGTTTGAGGGTATCTTAAATCCAAAAAATAAAAACAAAAACCTAACCAGCAGCCATTTGCTGAATTCCTGAGTGCTTGGGACTCTCCATTTCTAGTCTAGCAAACATCTTCCAGTTGCAATTTTAAACCTTTTTTCCCAGATCTTTCAAGAAACCTCTAATAGTATCAAGTTCAGCACACAAAGCTAGCTTTCTGTAAGCAATCAGTCTCATCTACCCACCTTTACTTTAGACAGGCTCCTAAAGTCAACCTGAGAATAAAAAGGACTTTTCTTTTGTTATTAAAATCTGTTCTCTAGCCAGGTGTGGTGGCTCATACCTGTAATCCCAGCACTTTGTGAGGCTGAGACCAGAAAATTGCTTAAAACCAGGAGTTCGAGACTAACCAATTGCTTAAAACCAGGAGTTCGAGACTAGCCTCTACAATGTAGTGAGACCACCATGTCTACAAAAAAAAAAAAAAAAAAAAAAAAAATTAGCCAGGCATGGTGTCACACACCTGTGGTCCCAGCTACTTGGGAGGCTGAGGTGGGAGGATCACATGAGCCCAGGAGGTTGAGGCTGCAGTGAACCATGGTCATGCACTGCCCTCCAGCTATGGTGATAAGAGCAAGACAGATGTTTCAATAATTTAAAAAAAAGTCTGTCCTCTGCCTCAAATGGACTTTGCTGTCATATTAAAACTATTGAAATATGTATAAACCAGGTGTGGTGGCTCACACTTGTAATCCTAGCACTTTTAAGAGGCTGAGGCAGGAGGATTGCTTGAGACCACAAGTTCGAGACCAGCATAAGCAAGATAGTGATACCCCATCTCTACAAAAAATATGAAAACTAGCCAGCTGTGGCTGTGTGTGCCTATATTCCCAGCAACTCAGGAGGCTGAGACAAGAGAATCCCTTGAACCCAAGAATTTGAGGTTACAGTGAGCTGATTGCAAACTGTACTCCAATCTGGGAACCAGAGTGAGAACCTGTCTCAAAAAAAAAAAAAAAAAAAAAAAGGAAACAAAAGAAGAAGAAAATATGTATAAATGAATGTTTTAAATTGGAACAATTACTATAGCATGAAAATGCCCATTTGATGAGACGTGAAAATTTCTTCTAAAGTATTTATCCATTTCTGGTTTTGTAGCAAAGGCATTATTATACTTCTATAACTTGTCTTACAGAGTCAGATAGAATCAAGCAAAGTTGGCAGAGCCTAGGCATCTACCTAAAAGAAATGCTCTCTCCCATTTCCATGAATACTTTAACTCCTGAGTTCCAGTGGCACTATTTCTGGAGTCCTTTCCAAGGCACATAATCCTAAAGCAGGTGTCACTTGTTACTCTCTTTCAAAGCGTCTTGCTCTTTTTCTTCACAGTACTTTTCAAAATATTTAATATACATTTATTTCCTGTAAAAGTTGCCTACCTCACTGGACTTTAAGATCTATGAGGTTAATCCCATGTCTGTTTTATTTTCTACCTTATTGCCCCTGCTCCCCAGGCACAGAGCAATATGTACCTGATGTGTATTTGGCTCTCAATACACATTTGTCATATTTGTGTGTGTGCTTGTTCAACTTCTCTCGCTCTGTGTGCAGGTGTGTACTTTCTTGTCATTTCAGGACACTTAGGAATTTCCTTATTTTGCCACAAGTTCAGCTGCGCATTAAAACTGTTTCATAAAAACATTTTTTTTTTTCCAGAAAGAGTTTCACTCTGTTGCCCAATCTGGAGTGCAGTGGTGTGATCTCGGCTCACTGCAGCCTCTGCCTCCTGGATTCAAACCATTCTCCTGCCTCAGCCTCCCAAGTAGCTGGGATTACAGGCAACTGCCACCATGCTCAGCTAATTTTTGTATTTTTAGTATAGACAGGGTTTCACCATGTTGTCCAGACTGATATGGAACTACTTGGGAGGCTGAGGTGGGAGGATTCAGCTACCTTGGCCTCCCAAAGTGCTGGGATTACAGGGGTGAGCCACTGCACCAGGCTTAACATGTTTAGGTGTTTTGTATCAGAAGACATTTTTCTGGTCCTCTATTTCAGGAGTTGGCAAACTTCTGTAAAGGGCCAGATAATATTCTCAGCTTTGCGGGCCATGTGATTTATGTCCCAACTACTCAAATAATTCACATTTCCTATCCTCATCAGCATCACTTGAGTTCTAATTTTTTATTATTATTTAAGTAGTAGGAAATCTTCCAGCTGTCAAGATACAAAAGACCTTCAATGGGAGTGTCAGACTCTAAAAGATAAAGTTCAAACTGCCTCCCATATTTGAGTATGAATTTAAAGCTAATATTTGCTGAGCGCTTACTGTGGTTCAGGCACTATTCTAAGTGCCTTTCCTGTGTTAACCCCTTTACATCTCACAACGGTATGAAAGACAATGACCATTATAATCTCCACTTGGAAACTGAGGCTCAGTTACATAAAGTTACACCACCCACTGGTGGATAAAGGACACCAACTCAGGTCTCTCTGACTCCAGAAACCATGCTCCACTCAGAATGCTAACCCCCTAACACCCAGTCTTCTATCTCTTGATGAGTTCTGAATTATCACGCAGGTATTCGCCCTTCTCCAGTAGCCACCTTGCCTCAGAAACACATAATCTCACCCCAGCTTCAGAGAAAAGCTGATTGATCTCCATGCGCTCTTACACTCTAGACAGTGATTGGCTTACATCTGAGGTTTCTCAACAAACTAGTACATGGCATAATCTCAGGCCACAGGGGCTGGCCAGAAATGGACAGGTAACCTTAACTAGGCTGATGCGATGGGAGGGAAATTTGCTGAGGGTTTTTAGAAAACAAGTTTCATCAATCTTGGGAGAAAATCTTGGAGAGGGCCAGCCTCTCTTCATCCAGTCATTGCCATGTATGTGTGTAAAGCTTGAAGCTACAGCAAACATCTTATTCATCATGAAGATAAAACCAGAACAAAGTGGCAGAGTTGAGACTCACAAAGACCAAGGCAGCCAGAGCTCTAGTTGAATCACAGCTGCTCACCACTCTAGTGCTGGATTTTTTCCATTGTACATCAATACACCACATTTGTGTTTTAAACCAGTTTCAACTGGGTTTTCATTCAATGGAGTGTAACCTGACTGCAGTTATTTGAAATCTTTCAAGATCTGGCCTCAGCATACGTTTCTAGTCCTTGTTTTTACTTGTCTAGGGCCAAATAAATTACCCAGAGTTTCCCAAACACACCACACCGTTCATGGATTTGCAAGCGTGATTCTTTCTGCCTTCATTGTCCTTTGCTCTCCTCTCCCTGGAGAATTCATGTTGGGTTGCAATTATGTTTTAAATGTCTGTCTCCACCACTTGATTTGGCTACATCATTTTTGTCTTTACACTCTTTGCACTTCTCATGCACTTAAGACATAATAAGCGCTCCAATAAGTGTCTATAAGATTAATAAAAAAGATGGGCAACATGGAAATCTGAATCATAATATAAACTTTCTCTACAAGATACTTGCCCTGGCGCACTGGCTCATGCCTGTAATCCCAGCACTTTGGGAGGCCAAGGCTGTTGGATCATGAGGTCAGGAGTTCAAGACCAGCCTGGCCAAGATGGTGAAACCCTGTCTCTACCAAAAATAAAAAAATTAGCGAGATGTGGTGGTGGGCACCTATAATCCCAGCTACTTGGAAGGCTGAGGCAGAAAATTGCTTGAACCTTGGAGACAGAGGTTGCAATGAGCTGAGACTGCACCACTGCACTCCAGTTAAAAAAAAAAAAAACCATTTAGATCAATGCTGTCTGGTTAAATATTCTGTGATAATGGAAATATTCTATACCTGCCCTGTCCAATAAAGTAGCCACTAGGCAAGTGTGTCTATTGAGCATTTGAAATGTAGCTAGTATGATGCAAGAAATGAATTTTAAATTTCGTTTAATTATAACTGATTAAAAGTTAAGTAGCTAGCAGCTACTATACTGAATACCACAGATGTAGACAACAAATTTTAATAATTTTCCACACATGGGAATGAGTCACCTAAAATGATTTTAGATACCAAGCTAAATAAAAACATCTGGAGATGGTACTATTTTGACTCTAATAATTTTTTTGTTGAAAACAGTATCTACATATTATATATACACACATACATATACACACATATACATATAAATATATACACATACATATACATATAATCTAGAAATTTCTTTCCTTTCAAAGATACTTCATACCTATAACTTAAAAAATATAATTTTATCTTTGTCTTTATTTTGAATTTTCAGTCATTTCAAAGTTAATATGAGCAATAATATCATTAAAAAGTGGGCAAAGGATATGAACAGACACTTCCCAGAAGAAGTTGGCCAACAAACATATGAAAGAAAGCTCAACATTACTTATCATCAGATAAATGCAAATCAAAACCACAATGAGAGACCATCTCATGCCAGTCAGAATGGTGATTATTTAAAAGAGTCAGGATACAATACATGCTGGCGAGGCTGTGGAGAAATAGGAATGCTTTTACACTGTTGGTGAGGATATACATTAGTTTAATCATTGTGGAAGACAGCATGGTGATTCCCCAAGTATCTAAAACCAGAAATACCATTTGACCCTGCAATCCCATTACTCGGTATATACCCAAAGGAATATAAATCATTCTACTTATTGCAGCAAAATTTACAATAGCAAAGACTGGAACCAACCCAAGTGCCCATCAATGATAGACTGGATAAAGAAAATGTATTACATATACAGCATGGAATGCTATGCAGCCATGAAAAATGAATGACAGCATGTCCTTTGCAGGGACATGGATGAAACTGGAAGCCATCATCCTCAGCAAACTAACACAAGAACAGAAAACCAGACACTGCATGTTCTCATTCAGGGGGGGTTGAACATTGAGAACACATGGACACAGAGAGGGGAACAACATAAACCATGGTCTGTTGGGGGATGGGGTGAGGGGAGGGAACTTAGAGGACGGGTCAATAGGTGCAGCAAACCACCATGGCACACGTATACCTATACAACAAACCTGCACATTCTGTACATGTATCCTCTTTTTAGAAGCAGCAATAAAGAAAAATAAATGACCGCTTCGTTTCAGGAGGTAGAGTTTTCCTCTTAAAGTTTTTCAGATTTTTATCTCAAGGCTTTGGCTTTTTATGCATCTCACTACGTGTAATTTGCAGTTAATACTTCAATGCCTTATGCTCTTCTTCTCTCCTTAAAACAGTACATCTTTTTGCTTAACTAAAGTGGTGACTCTCTTTTTTTTTTTTTTTTTTTTGGTCAGTTCCTATTGCATTTTTCCGCATTTCGCACTCAGGTATTATAACCTGACACTGAGAATGTTAGTCTCAAAAAAAACCGGAAAAACGTTTTTCCAGTATAGATTAATTCTGTACTCTTGGCTTTTTCTGATGTATCCAAATTGTTCTATGTAACCAGGAAACTTCACATGCTCTTACTTTTTCTAAAAGCCATCCATTCCCCCTGGTGGAGGTACTACTTGTGTGTGTGTGTGTGTGTGTGTGTGTGTGTGTATTATTATTCTATAATATGGTTTACTTATAACCTTAGACACACACTCTTCCGGCATCTAATTGAATTAAAGTAGTTTTTCATGGGGTTTAATTTCCAGCTTACTCAAAAGGGCATATACCAAGAGAAATGGTCATACTACAAAAGGTTTTTTCTCTCTCTCTCTAAGTATTCTACCTAACAAGCAGATATTTTATGTTTTAAGATAGCTTCTTGTGGTTTGGGCTGTCTTCATTCGGGTTTTGAGCAGCTGAAAAAACTAAGTCATCTCTAATACAGGTCTAAGTATTTTTTTTTGTCTTGACTATGTAACTTTTGAATTTGTTTTTGAAGTCTTTCCATTATTACTCTGGTTAAATAAGTGACCATTATCTCTCAAGAATATGTAATTCCACTTTAATTAAATATTTTTAGGCTTTTTGCATCCAAACAAATGACAAACTTCCCCAGAATCAAATTCAAGTTTAAGTCTTTTTCACCTAAAATTGACTAAGGGATTTTCTAGTTGGGCTCCTGGGAAGTCTCAAAAGATTTGTCTCCCATTAGGCTTGTTTGACCAGCTCCCAAAATCTTCTCTAGTGTCCGTGAGCTTTCTTTCAAAACAATATGTAGCATTTCCCTTGCTAGTAAACCCCCAATCTTCTCTTTGTCCTTCACACATATAGAAGACCACCATGGTTTTCAGTTTTGTTCAGAACTACAATTCTGTGATTCCCAAATAAATTGTATACTTTAGAGATCCATCTTTATTTTGACTTCAATAGTGGTGATAAATTCATACAATATTCAAGAATATGTTTTATAACAATACTGTCAATTTAGAAATGCATTTTACTGTGATATAAAATCCTTAACTATTCTACTCCACTGACATTTTGTATGATTTTCTTACTAATTTACAAGCACTTAAAAATTCTTTATTTACATAAGGTTTATATTAGATATAATTTTGTGAGGAAAATAAAAGGTCGGTTTTCTATTTGCATTGTGCTAATTCAGACTGCACTTGGTTTTTCATGCACACCGGTATAAGCTAAAGTTTAGACAAATTATTGTAAAAACTGATACACATATAGACCATTATAGTGTTATTTTTAAAAGTACAAGAAACTACTTTAAAAGATCACAAGGAGATTACAGCAAATGAATCTTTATATTCATTACCTCAATGAAATATAATTTAACACTAGTTTCAATGTCTTTTTTTCCAAAAGACTAATTTTCAAGTGAAAGCTTTAGATCTTTGAAATAAAATTAAAGATAGAAAAGATACATAATTCATTTCAGCAGTTTTCTGAGAAATACCACATCTTCCAAAATATATGTGTTCTTATAAGAAATGGACTCTCTTTAGGCAATTAGAATATCAGTCTTCTACAACAGGCCAATTTTCAAAGCACTAGGCCTAAGTTCACTCAACCAGTCTCATGAAGCAAAAACTGAATTAAGATATTCCATTTATTTTAGTGCACATATTTATCAAGCAAAGAAACTATGGAACAAAGACTCTTTCTTGCTGAAGTTGTTGGGATTTCCATGGTGCTTAATGCGTGTTTTTTTAAATTGTGAGATCAAAGTTTGAACACAAATCTTGAGCCATTGTATATGTTACCTGGGTAAAAACATTAAACTTGATCTTTTCAAATATCTAATGGAATCCCAGGCACAGTGATTAAAATATGAAGTTAAATATTTAAGAGAAAATTAATCACTAATAATGAAATGAGTTGATTTTCTAAGAAAAGCAAGTATGTAATTAAGCAGACACTCTCAAAACCATTACAACATTCAAAAGCAATCAACATTACAAGTCTTAGGTTGTGTTTTAAATTCCTCATAACCTAAACATATACATTCATTAATTATTCACTTGCCATGATCAACAATGAAAGATGAGTTAGAAAAACCAGAGGCTTTAATTCAAAAATTACAGTCTTTGGTATTGCAGCAAGGAAATAACTTGCTGGTGAAATTAATGACTCCACCTGGCTTTATCTTGGCAATGTTCTGAAATACATGCAATGAACAACTTGACATTGTTTGATGTTCTTAATTCTTTACAGCCATCTCTATGGGTGGTCATAATAGATAAGATCAATCAGAAATGATCATATTATGAAACATAAATCACTTCACATGACTTATCTGGAAAATGTGCTGGTACTTACTTGCACCATCATCTCAAGTTCCAAGAGCCAAAAACATATACATGCTCAAGGAGGAGAATTTCCTTTCTGATTTTAGAACAGTCTGAAAGGGGGTGAAAAAATGAAAAAGGGGGAGCTTACAAATAACAAAAATGTATATCCCAAGTGAAAATTAGAATGTCTATGGAACTAGTAGCAGTAACAACAGTAGACGAAAGATAGGCTGTAGATGTGAAGAAGATGTCTACAAGGGAAGCACAAGACTCCAAATGCTCTTGCTACTAAAACGCAGATTCAAGCTTTACCATCTGTAATACTCTGCTGCCAAGTACATCTATGGCCACTGGTACTGTCTAAAATGAGGATGTATATTATTAAATCATCAAAAAGGACTGCATAGCAGAAACTTTTCTGATATCAAGGGATCGACTTAACTACAATTATATACAGGTGCCAATTTCCTCTGGAGTAAACTACCACACGGGGCCTCATGTACCAGTTAGATAATCCAAGTCAGCCTTTATTGCATAACCTATCTAAAAGATTGGACTCTACATTCTGGCTCTGCAGAACTGAGAGAAGAAATGTATAAAAAGGATAGTGATATTGCCTTTGTCTATGGGAATTCTTGAGTCTAATAAAAAAATCTGGGAAAAACCTAACTTCATGATTACACTTGGGCACATAGGTGATTAATATGAATGAAGTAACAACCATAAATACAATCGTAACCACAAGAACAACAGTAATTCAATTTTTCTCACTTCATAGGTGTTCTTATGGTATCTTGTAGGTGCTCTCCGCAAGCCTCAGGTGTTCTTCCATAATCTCAGTTGATGCAAAGGCAAACACCACACTCTCCTCTGTTCAATGTCTGCCATCACTGTCTTTTTGGCCTCTGACTCTTCCCTATACTACTTTCTATGCACTTGAGATCTTCACTGACATAGCTGGGCTCTGTATTTATTGATAAGAGTATCTCTTTTCTCTTAGACTAGGCATGACCAAAAGGTTAATCTGGCTTCAAAGATTAATGACAATGACCACTCAGTTTTTATTCAAGATCAATTTTATTTGTTGTAAAAACAAACAAGCGTTATGTTCCAGACAGATATAAGTGAGTAGACTTATGCCCTGGTGCCTCCTTGGCTCTTCACAGGATGCAAAAACAAATCTTGCCAGCAGGAGGTGGCAGGCTGCAGAGGTGGCTGGTTGCTCTTTGAGCCATCTTGGCCTTGCCTGGCATGCACAGGTCCCAGCACAGCAAAACATTCAGGGAGTTAGAGTGTTGCACAAAGGATTTTACCAACCTCTCACATTAAGCAGCATTCAAGGATTTGCTGACCACCACTTATGCAAATTTTGTGTTATGCTATAGCAATGAACTTACTTGTTCTATTTCTAAACAAAATATTGGGTTCACACACAGGCCTGGACAAAGCTTCCCACTTCTGAACTATTTACTGATCTTCTTATTCTCAAAGAATGCAAGATGAATGATGTGCAATACCATGGCTATGGCATGTGACTTTTCTAGACCTGGATGGTTAGTGTCCCAATATTTAACTGATTTTTGGGGGGGTGAAAATATGCCATAAGTTCTTCCTTCTATCATCCCCATCACTACCATACATGTAATGGCATAATCATGTCACAGTGTGTCCTCAGAATCACTATTCCTAGCTGAGTATACTAAGGCTTTCTATCTAGGTCAGTTCATTGTGTCTGTGTCTCCTCTAAACCCTCCTTCATCATGCCTACCTCGAAGAATTCAGCAAGTGATCATTCACGCAAGCTAAAGGATTTTAGCTTTCTCTGCCATAAAGATTATTGCTAAAATACATACCATACAACAAACCAACCCACTTCCAACAAATCTTACTGACTTCTCACAGAATACATAATGACTTTTATTGTGTCTCTTCCTTCTGTGTTTCTCTTTCCTAACTGAACTTTGTTCTTTATCCATGCCTTCTTCCAATCCTGACATATTTTAAAACCTTTAGCATTTCTGCCTATAATATTTGGGTTTTCTTCTTTTCCTATCTTTATTTGATAAGTCCCGTCAAATATTTTCCCCATAATCACAATGTTTTCTTTTCACTTTGCTCAAGAACTGAGTTATGAGCTCCAAATTTGGACAAACTCTACATTGGCTAAGTTTTAGTCATTTGCACTGCTAAGAAAGATGACAATTCAGCATGCTGAAGATGATATCCTCCCTTATAAAGGGGCTAACACAGAGGGCAATACTGTTCGTGCTTCTGAGTCTTGATCACAAGAATTGCTTTAGGCAATTACAATCATGTCTCCTCTGACATATCATATTAGTCAAGTGAGACAGAGAAAGAATATGTCCTATGTCACACAGCTGGGTGGTGACAGCTGCTTTAGCATCAGCACACTGCGTTCCCTCTGATTTCTTCATTCATCTCTAAGTAGCAGTAAAGCCGGTCCTGAATACTGACTTTGACACTCAGCTTTCTCCACATCCTTCCTGTCACTGCCTTTGAGACTACTTCAGATTCTTCCCTTAACTTCTATTTCTCCATTTGTAAAATTGGGTTGATGAGGGTATCTTCCTTCGGTAGCTGTGACAATAAAAATGGGATCATCATGCATCCTCCTTAGCCCCACGAGTAAGCTCCCAGTAAGTGAGGCTGTCATCATTACTGGATATTTAAGATTCTTTACCTATTTGAAAAACCCTAGTGACAGAGTCTCAGTTGCTTTTCTTTTTGCGTGAATGATCACTTGCTGAATTCACCAAGCAGGCGCTTTAACATTTACCTTCCTTTATTATGCTGGAGCATTTTTAATGTAGGAGGCTTCTGTGGCTTCTCACTATGACTGCTTTGTTTGTTCAAAACTTATACAGGTTGAGTATCCTTTATCTGAAATGCTTGGGTCAGAAGTGTGTTGGGTTTCAACTGTTTTCAGATTTTGGAATATTTGCTTCAATGCAATGAGGTATCTTGGGAATGGGAGCCATGTCTAAACACAAAATTCACTTATGCTTCATACACACTTAGCCACATACACATAACCTGAAGGTAATCTTATACAATATTTTAAATAATTTTATGCATGAAACAAAGTTTTGAATGTGTTTTGACTGTGACCCATCACATGAGGTAAGATGTGCGGAATTTTCCACTTGTGGCATCATGTCAGCACTCAAAACTTTTGGATTTTGGAGAATTTCAGATTTTGGATTTTCAGAGTAGGTGTGTTCAATCTGTATATATGGGTCAGATTCAGTTGTCTCCTTTAATCTTTGGCTGAAGGAAGCCCTAAAGACTTTGGGGCCTCAATCTCCCATATGCAGTGACATTCTCAAAGCCATTGACTCAGCTTCTCACCTGGGTTTCCTTCCAGTGAGCCACAGATAGAAGTCATAGATGATGGCAGGGGCCTGCTGGCTGATGGCATTCCAGTACTGGGTTCTGAAGTTGCTGGTGGTGAAATCAGCATATGGCCTCGTCAAAGCTCTCTCAAATGGAATTGGAATTTCAAAGGTTGCCAAGACCTGGAAACCTGGGGGAAAAAAGAGAGTAAGTGCTAGAGGAGAATAGGAGAATATAAGCCCATCATAGTGGAAGGTATTTATAATGGGTCACAGCAATAAAGACGAAGGATTTGCTGTGTAGAGTCAAGAATCAATTTCTGAGAACAACGTAAAGATTTTTATGCTAGGCAAGTGGTTATCTGCAAAATGAGACAATGTGAATGGGTTAAGAATTGGACCCTTTATTTGAAACATCTACTCTAAAACAAATTCTTGGGGAAACATGTAGTCAATAAAAGGGGGTACTGTTCAGAAAAACATAAATCCACATTTAATTCTAAGGTTATCTAGTCTATTCTGAAAGCCCCAAGAAAGAGGCTAGAAACTTTATTTCCCTGGCTGGACCATTACTGTCAGAACCATTTAGAAAGTTTCTTAATATTTTATTTGAATCTTTATTAAAAGTTTAACTTAAAAATTCTAAAGGCAAGATTTTCTTGTGTTAGCTTACTTTAAATATTTCTCTGGGAATATGTAAGACTCAACTGTCCACTCTGGTATCCAGGGTTTTATCCATAGTAGTGTTTTTATATTAATACTTAGATTAAGCTGAACTAAGAACTGTTTACATACATTTGTGAATTCAGCAGTTCTTTCGAAAAGATACTCATTTGAATTCAATTTTATTTAAGGTATGTAGGTTTTTGCAAAGCATATGCCTAAGCTCATTATTCAATTATGATGTCAGTTATTATAGTAATACGATTATTGCCCTACTTAAAAAAACTGGCATTTTTTTAAAATCTAAAAATCTATCTGAAAAATATAACTCCTCTTCAGAGAAGATTCTCAAGAATCATCTGGTCCATAGGGATTTATACTTTAAAAAGATGGTGGTAAATAAGAAAGTTATGTACAGGTTGATAGCATAAGAGATTCTGATCTCAACACTGATGTTCTGATCTATATATCCATATACTTATTCAACATTTCCACCTGGAGGTGTAAGAGACATTCACATTTAACAGCTCTAAAATGGGCCTCCTGATACACCCACTGCTAACCACCCCCCTCCCAATACATACACAAACTTGCTATTTCACCAGTCTTCTACCTCTAACCAAATGCTAATTCAATTTGTTTAGTAGTTCAGCCAAAAACTTTGGGGTTATCCTTGATTCTTCTCTTTCTTTAACAACCCACACACAATTGAACAAAATCTATCAGCTCTGTTTGAAAAATACCCAGAATCATAATTACCACCTGCTATCTCTCTGATCCAAACCACTACTGTAGCCTGGAATGTTGCAATACTGTCCTAAGTGGTCTCTGCCACTACCCCTGTAACCCTAGTCGGACCTCCATGTAGCAGCCAGAGGGATTCTTGTAAAATGTAACTCAGAGTGTATTACAGGAACGTCCCCATTCAGAGCCCTTCAGCGGAATCTCTTCTCATTTAGAGGCAAAGCCATGGTCTGCAAGGGCTTGCACTCTCTGCATCCTCACTCTCTCTGCCCACCACTCTGACTTCACCCCTTACCGCTCTCCCTCTCGGTGCTTCTGCTGCAGCCATACTGGCCTCCTTGCTGTCCTTGAATATGATTAAAGAACTTCAGCACTTGCTATTTCTTCAACTTGGAATATTTCATCCATGTGTCCCTCTGATTTGCCCTCTCACTTCTTTCAGGTCTCTACTAAGATGACACCTTATCAGAGAGACTTTCTTTGGCCATCACATATTAAATAGCAGCCTTCCCACAATACTGTTTACTTCTTTAATCTGTTTTATTTTTCTGCAATCACTCAACCATATCTGATGTATATTTCTCCTTTCTAAGATTTAAGTATCATAACAAAATTTTGTCTGTTTTGTTTGAACCTATACAGTACCTTGAAAAGTGGCTGAAGGTAATCAGTGCCTAATAAACATTTTTTGACTAAACGAATCAATAGATATCTCAGCAACATACACTTACTTTCCTTTTCCTAAATCTGTATCAATCCTTCCTTTAGTCATTTCAAATATATTTATTTAGCATTTAACACTTGCCAGGCACTGTGGTAGATGCTGAGGTAAAAAAAATTACATATGATATATTCTTTGTCTTTAAAGAACTGGCAGTCTGGTGGGAGATGTGGACAATTCATGATTACAATATTTTGCCTGAGTATTCTGCTAGAGGCCAGTACAATATGCTCTGGAGGAATACAAAAGAAGCATCTAGCTCTGTCTGGGTGCCAGGAAGGGGAGGGGTGGGGCTAGGTTTGGAAAGGCTTTCTGAGAAAGCTGTCCATATGGTAATAGCAAGCATTTACTAAAATGTTCACTGTTCTAACCACTGTACTAAGCACTTTATCTCACTACGTTCTCCCAAGAGCTCCCTAGAATAGAATAATTATTATTCTCACTGACAGATAAAAAAATTCATCTACAGGGAGAAACTGAGAGACTTTTTCCAACTGATACAATAAGAGTGGAGTCTACTAAATGGTGGGACGCATATCAGCATATAACATCTATGTGAGCATGGATTTCTGTTTAGTGATATATCCTCAGCACCAAGAATAATGTCTATTTAATAAATACAGGAGTGAGTGAATGAGCTATGATTTGAATCCAAGTCTATTAGATCTCAAAGCCCAAGACTTTTAACCATTAAGCTAATGTCTGTCTGATGTGAGGGACAAGGAGAAACTCATGCACATGTAGAAAATGTAATTTGGCAATTGGAAACTGCACTCTACATCCTCATAGGTCAAAGAAGAAATTCAAATGAAAAATGTTGAAGGATTAGAGAGTAATGATAACATAAACATTATACAACAAAATGTGTGGGATACAGCCAAAGTGGCACTTGAGGGAAATATGAAGCCATAAATGATGTATTAGACAAGCCAAATATTCATGGGCTATATTTCTAAGTTAAAGAGAAGAAAAACATAATCAAAGAAAGCAGGAGGAAGGGGAAAAAAGAGATAAGGCAATACATCTATGCAATAGAAAAGCAAGCAGCATAATAAAGAGTCAATAGGCTGGGCGCGGTGGCTCATGCCTATAATCCCAGCACTTTTGGAGGCCAAGGTGGGTGGATCACCTGAGGTCGGGAGTTCAAGACCAGCCTGACCAACGTGGAGAAACCCCATCTCTACTAAAAATACAAAATTAGCCAGGTGTGGTGGCGCATGTCTGTAATCCCAGCTACTCTACTCAGGAGGCTGAGGCAGGAGAACTGCTTCAACCCAGGAGGCCGAGGTCGTGGTGAGCCAAGAAAATGCCATTGTACTCCAGCCTGGGCAACAAGAGCGAGACTCCATCTCAAAAAAAAAAAAAAAAGAAAGAAAGAAAGAACAAAGAAAAAAGTCAATAAAGCCTGAAGAAGTTGGTTCTTTCAAAAAAAGAAATAAAATAAACCCTTTGGAGACTAGCTGAGAAGAAAAGAGAAGACACACAAATATTATGAATTAAAAAAGAAGCATAATTACAGATACAGTTTAGGACAAAAATATTAATATAAAAAAGAATGTAAATACATTTTAGAACAAACAAAATCTTAGAAAAAGAGACAAATATAATTTACTAAAACTGATTCCAACAGAAAATGAAGCCTGCAAAATTCTTTAACTATTAAAGACACTGAAGCAATAAAAAATCTTCTCACAAAAAATTATAAATCAAGATAATTTAAAGGTGCTTTTCCCAAGTTTTCGAGGAATAGATTACTCCACTATTACAAAAGCACTTTCAGATAATAGAAAAACAAGGGAACTATATGATTAGCAAACTGAATTAAACAAAATATAAAAAAAGATAACATGGTATGACCAAGTTGGGTTTATCCTAAAAATGGCAGGTGAGTTTAATATTTGAAGTCTTCCGCTTAAAATGAGCAGCAAGACAATAATACCTACTATTGCCATTTTTATTCACCATTATAGTAGAAGTTCAACAAGAAGGCTGGGCGCAGTGGCTCACTCCTGTAATCCCAGCACTTTGAGAGGCGAAGGCAAGCGGATCATGAGATCAGGAGATCGAGACCATCCTGGCTAACACGGTGAAACCCTGTCTCTACTAAAAATACAAAATTTAGCCAGGCGTGGTGGTGGGTGCCTGTAGTCCCAGCTACTCGGGAGGCTGAGGCAGGAGAATGGCGTGAACCCAGGAGACAGAGCTTGCAGTGAGCTGAGATGGTGCTATCAACAAGAAAAATAAAGACCTAAAGCTTGAAAAAATGGGGATAATACTGCTATTTTTGCAGATTATGATTATGTTAGGAAATTATGAGGAACTTTTATACAATTGCTAGCAATAATAAGTTTAGCAAGATAGCTGAATATAAGGTCAATATACAAAAATCAATTGCATTTGACATCATCCACAAACAATTAGAAAATGTATTTTTACAAAAGACATTTAAATTAGTTAAAAAAAAAAAGCATCAATTACCTAGGCCCTAGGTATAAATCTGATAAAAGATGCTTAAGATCTATATGCAGGAGATTAAAAACTCTTCTTAAGGGACACTAAAGGAGACAATTCAATGGAGAGATAGCCTATGTTCACCCACCCAGCTGTCTATCACTCCTTGTAATATCACCTGAGACTATATATGCTCAACCTCCTGTTAACATGGCTACTGCTCCTAGTAGGAAGCATTTTTATCCCTCTGAAGAGTCCCCAATAGGAAACACAAATGAGTTTAATTTGAATGCAACATCAAATTAATAGTAATAGCTTCCAGAAATGCTGTGTTAGAAGGGAATCTAGAACAGAGCCTTGGCACAGGGATAACCAATGTCGTATCAGCCCGCAGTGTTTGCTATAGGTGTGAGAGAGGTAGAGGAAACATGCAGGCCAGGTATTTTTCATTGTGGAAAAGCATTTTTCAATTCAAACCCACAATATATAAATGAGCCACAGTGTCCAGCTGCCCTGCAATAGAACTCTCAGTGTGGTACCATGGCTTACCATTGGAATATGAAGAGCTAGTGGTACCTATGTAACAGGGATAGAAGGGGTGCGTTAGTTAGTAGGTACTAAGAAATTCTACAGAATAGCAAAACTCCCTACTTTTATCTTCTACCATCATTAGATGTTTAAGTTGTACTCAAATTGATTTCCATGGTTTTTGTACATTGATCAGATTAAATCCCTTACATTCAGACAAATTAATCATTTGTATAGTACAGGGTTTCTCAAAGACCATTTCCACAAGCATCAAGAAACATCTAGATGCTTATTAAAAATATAGTTTTCTCAGCATCACCCAAGACCTTGGTCACAGGGTCCAAGGAATCTGGCTGTTGTTTTTATTCTCCCATAGTGATTCCTATTCACTTTTACAAATCACTAGTAGAGTAGTTAATGCACACCCAAGAGAAACAAGTTGCATAAATTAGTGATCACTATTACACACTCAATAAGGAAGGAATAATATCACCCGACTTTCCTAAATCTCATTGGTCATTGATCACGTCGCATTCTCAGTGACATATCAAGAAGGGAAGGGGTGTGTATAGGACCCACTGCCCCAGCAGGGAGGAGTATTTCAGTATTTTATCACTGAGATTCTTTATAACTGCCAACTTTTGCTTTATTTCATCATTGTTTTTTAAAATCTCTATAGCCAATGGACCCCCTACTGCTTACAATCATGTATGTGTTCCCAATGACTCCTTTCCTTGGTAACCACAGTACATTCTAGTTAACTACCACACATTTACAATTTCTCATTATTTTGTCTCTTTGCTTACTTTTTGTCCTCCTCCCCATGTAGGCTCTAATCTCCATGACACACTGTCTATTTCTTCTCTGTGTCAGACACTAGTAATTATGCAGTTACATGGCTAAAGTACTTACCCATTTTGCCCCGGTTGCAGGGATTGAGGTTACCAGATGTACAGTGGTAGACTAACACTGACTTAGGTCTGGAAAATGAAATAAAAATTAAATAAATACAACTGAATGAAAAACTAATGAAAGAAAAATAAGGGAAAATAATATTTAGACAGAGTGGCTTCAATAATTCATCTGATTAAAGCAACCTATGCAAGAAGGCTTCTGTATTTTTTTCTTTCTTTGGGTTAATAAGCAAAATGGAAGAAGACTAGCAAAAGGGTGTGTGCGGAGGTGGGGGGATGTGTGTGTGTGAAAGAGATGTTAAATAGGAGTGACATATTATGAAGCACAGATGTACGAGTTCACATAAAAAAATTTAATTCTGTTTACCACATACTAACACAGCCAAATGTATGAACAACCTGTTTTTTTTTCCTTTGTACCAGGAAACTTCCCCACACATAGTGATTGAACACTTTTGGCATTAACCAGAGTTCAATTAAAGAAAATTCTCTCATTTCATCCACTTCTATCTCCTTTGCCCTAAAAAAGAAAGCTGAATGTTAAACTACTGAGTAGAAAGAAAAGCCTTTTGGTTATCAAGAATTGTATGGTTAAGTGATTTAAATGTTTTATTACTTTGTGAGTAGCCAAGTACTAAACTGTATTTTGAAAACAACTGAATGTATATATGATGGCATATTAGGAACTCTATAAAATACTGAAACAAACACCCTCTCACATTTGGGGTCTTGTACAATGAAATGCCTATATTTGGAAAATGTGCCTAATACAATAACCCTCCCTCTCATGACATCTTTGAAAGCCCACTTGAGCATCCACACCTGTGAACTGCAGCACACACACCATCCTACAGCTAGTGGGAGATTGACGGCTGTATCACCTGGAATTGGAATTAAGTCTCCCACAGCCATTGGAGTAGCTTTTATGGACAGAAGAAACCCTTTCCCAGCCTGCACAGGAAAAAGAACATAAAATGTGAAACCAGGTCTTAAGTAACAGCTGGGGCTAAAGTATGTATCATCAAACTGATTATACTAGTGCAATAAGTGAAAACAGCTAACATCGATCCACTGCTTAACAGGTTCCCACACTAAGTCTGACTTCGTCAGCCTACCCTAGCTTCCCAGCCAAGCGCATCTTCAGCATTTTCTTGAACTACTCGTGTTCCTCATGTTCCTTTAGGGAATAAAATTCCTCATATTTTTGAGAGATTAATAAACTTAGTTAATTACCAAACACCAAGAATAAACCTTCACATTTAAAAAATTAACTCATAAGACACGTTAAGAATTAAGGTTACACAAATTCCCCATTAATGTTTGTTTTCCATTTCCTTAATGATTTTGTTTTCTGCTAGGGTTTACTAACCTACAAGCAATAGTAAGCACTAAAAGTTTAAGAAAGTTTTATTTGAACAAAAATTAATTTGTGAAATTCCACAATTAATGACAAAAACTTTTTTGGCTTAGAAAAATGGCCTTATTATTTACTTTTTCTTCAGAATCTCATTTCACCTCACAGATCACTGATGTTATATAGATACAAGAGTTTGGACTTATTTATGTTAATAATTTGTTGAGTTTATGAAATTCATTCTTTCTGCTTTGCATGTTTCCCACTTTAATTTGAAATGATTAGCACTTTCTTATGTTACTCAATTCTCTTTTCTTATAACTAGCTCCCCTTCTTTTGGACATAAGAAACCAATTTAGAACATTTTTTAAAATGTAAATAAATATACAGCTTTGCATATAATGAAAACCGCTTTGGGATCACGTTAAAATAATGATGTTCTAAGTCACCAAACTTCACCCCAACTGAACTTTTTTAGGAGAAAGAGTTGAAGGCAGGTGGGAAGCAGAAAGAAAGGGGCTGCTAGAAAAATCCGGAATTCGAAGGAAGGTCTTTGTCACTACCATAATTCATTGTCTCATATTTCTATTTGAATTCATGTTGAACCCAGCTCTGGTAGGAATAGAGACAGAGTCTGAAGGGCAGTCTGAATCCCTAATAAGATTTAAACTCATTTAGATCACTGATTTCCCATTCATTGTACAAAAGAGTAAAGTGGGGTTTAGGCCCTGAATGCCTCAGTGTGAGCTGTGAACCCCACAGCTCTGCCGGATCAATGTGGACTTCAGGGAGATGCGCACTGAGGGCTGCTCACCTAGAGGAGCCACGTTTCTCCTTGTAAGACATTATTGAAAAGGCGTTGCCGGCACATGTCTACCTATGTAACAAACCTGCACGTTGTGCACATGTACCCTAGAACTTAAAATAGAATAATAAAAAAGAAAAGGCCTTGCCTATATTCACTGATGTTTGTATTTGAAAAATTTGCCCCAATATTGGTAGTTCTTTCTTGTATTCATTAAGAATTATTGATGTATACCTGCTTTCCATATACACACATAAACTCTTCTATGTGTTTTATAATAACGAATTTAATAATCTTTGAAGATATTTTTACTGCATCCTCAATTCACTGCACTAATTCATGCAATTATAAACTGAAGAAAGGAGGAAATACCCCATCTTGCGATAAATAAAGCAAAATCCTTGGCAGAACCATGCCCGCCTGTCCGCGCCCCGACCAGCCCTCCCGGGCAGCCACTCACCGGTGTCCGTCTTCCCAGCTTCGCGCCATGTGGCCAAGTGAATCCATCCTGCCGTCCATCTCCACTTTCACCAGCCCGTACCGCAAGCGCCGCCTGCAGGTGCGCTGACCCCGCGCCCAGCCCGAGGCCAGGGGAACCCACGACTACCTCAACAGCGTGCGGGACTCCATTCGGTCCACAGGGCTGGATGGCCTGGGGCCGAGGCCACCCCGAAGCCCCCGGCGACCCCGCCGTCTGCGTCCTATTACCCGAACACTGCACACCGCTGCCCTAGGGCGCCCTGGAGCTGGACCCACTGCCACATGGCCGGCGCTGCTCAGCTGGTTTTTGTTGTTGTTGTTCTTTTGAGATGGAGTCTCCTTGGGTTGCCCAGGCTAGAGTGCAGTGGCGCGATCTCGGCTCACTGCAAGCTCCATCTCCTGGGTTCACGCCATTCTCCTGCCTCAGCCTCCGGAGTAGCTGGGACTACAGGCGCCCGCCACCGCACCCGGCTAATTGGTTTTTGTACTTTTAGTAGAGATGGGGTTTCACCTGTTAGCCAGGATGTTCTCCATCTCCTGACCTCGTGATCCGCCCGCCTCAGCCTTCCAAAGTGCTGGGACTACAGGCGTCCGCCACCACGCCCGGCTACTTTTTTTTTTTTTTGTATGTTTAGTAGAGACGCGGTTTCACCGTGTTAGCCAGGATGGTCTCCATCTCCTGACCCCGTGATCGGCCCGCCTTGGTCTCCCAAAGTGCTGGGATTACAGGCGTGAGCCACTGCGCCCTGCCTGCTCAACCGCTTTCAACTGGCGCTGCCCAGCCACCTGGTCAAAGCCCAGCACCCTGAAGCAGATGGCGGCAGCTGCGGCTGCGCACCCAGGTTCAGGTATGCATTGCGCGTCCTCTCAAACACTAGGGCGCCCCGGGCCTGCAGCTTCATGCATGCGAGGTCCCGGGTCCCTCCCATTCCGCCCCCAACACCTGCCCCTCAGCCCCTACGGCCCGCACGCCTCCTTCCCGCTGCCCTTCCGTGGCCCTGGTTTGGGACACCCAGCCCGGCCTTCATGAGGCGCCCCCCGCCCAGCTCCGCCCCTCCACGCCCCTGTCTTTAGTTTCTTAGGCGGTGGCCGCCGCCGCCACAGCCCTGGGCCTGGCACCCCCAGTCGCCCGCGGCGTCCTTGTGGTGGCACCGGCGTCCCCGCTGGAGCTGCTGGAGGCCACGCCCAAGCATGGCAGCTGCTCCTGGCCTGGGAACTGCAACACCAGGCATACCTATGTGGCTACGGCCAGACCTACAGCAAGAATTCTCCCCTGCAGGCACATCTGCGCAGCACACAAGTGACAAGCCCGACCACTGCCACTGGGATGGAAGCAGCTGGAAGTGTGCTCACTCAGACAAGCTAACGCTCCACCACCACAAGCACAGGGGCCACCGGCCATTTCAGGGCCATTGGTGCCACCACGCCTTCTTGCGCTCTGCCCACCTTGCCCTGCACAGGAAGCGGCACATGCAGCCCAGAGGCCTCCCCACCTGCACGCGGCCCCCTCCCAAACTGTGACTGGTATTTATTGCACCCAGAGAACTCGGCAGGGCGGTGTGGCTCCATAGGGTCTACCTCGACGACGAAGACGGCGCCACCACCCCAGCCCCCATCTGTGACTGAAGACCAGGTGGGAAAAGACCACTATCCGCCTTGATGAGTTCTGTTTTTCAAAATGGTGCAATAATTAAGTGGCATCTTCCCTCCCACGGGGCATAAGACTTGATGTCCTTTGAGAAATAAGGGCCTTAATTTGTACTGTCTGCGACATTTTTTATAATATTGTACATAATAACTGGGACAGATATTGTTATTACTGTACATAGAGTGGCAGGGCTACTTGCCTCATTTTCCTAAGACTTTTGCTTCTTTTATTTTTAATTTTTAAAAAAGTTTTTTTTAAAAAGAAAAGAAAAATCCTTAATTCTCACTTTTCAAAATAGAACTCTTAAATAGTAATTGATAGCACTTTACCTCTGTTTTCCTGATAAAAAAAATTCTAAAAGAATAAAAACAATTTCATCCTGCCTCCATATTATAACCAGAATAATTGAAATAATATGCTTCAATTGATAGTAAAGTAGCATTTATGTTTTTGGATCAATGAAGCTAAGCCAGCACTAAGAATTTTCTTACTATTCCTCCACTACATTACAGTTACTTCCTCATCCCTATACATACCGCAATAATGAGTCGGCTACATCCATTTAGATTATCAACCCAACCCTAAAAGAAAGAAAATTTCCATTGGTTACACATTTCAGAAAATTGTTGTATCTTTGGAACATCTGCCGTCTAATCTTAATAAATTTCAAACAAGGGCACTGAGACTCCAGCCGATAGAACTATCTAATTCAGTATTATTAAGATCCCAAAGATCAATGGCAAAGCGTTGGCTATTTTCTGCAGTTTGTGCAAGAATTAAAATTTGGCCAGGATTGTTGTTTGTAGCAGGAGTCATGAATGGTTTTGTGGTGTTTTATGACAACTTAAGGGCTACAATGGACCTTGTCCTTATATCATGATCTGCTAAGCAATTCACCAACCATACTTCACCTCATTCCTGATTTTAGCCTCCTTAGGAGAACATTGAAAACATGATTGGTAATAATGTGTGTTGACTTGCTTAAAGATGTTACAGGAAAGATTATGCTTAAGAGTAGTTAGAGGGAAATGTCTTTTTGAGTTTGTTTCCTAAGCCCTAAGCCGTCTCTTTACCTTACAGTATAAAAGTCGAAATGCATATAATGGGAGACCAGATATACGGGAGGAGAAGATGAAGGGACTAATATTCGTTGAGCCTTTTAGTAGGGATCTACCTTTTACTAGAGACTGAGCACTCCTCATACATTGTCTCATTAAACCAACTCTCCAAAGTAGTATCTGTCCTGTTCTACCGAAAGAACAACTCAAAAATGTTGCATTGCCAGTAAGTGGTGGAGCTGGAATGTATCTGCCCCCAAAGCTTCACGGACTTGCTTTGAAGAAGATGGTATAATTCAAAGTACTTTCAAAAGGACATAGCAGTATACTGAGGTTAAAAAAAATTAGTATTCCCAAACTGAGATCCTTCTGTGAGCTTTGTAACCCTGGCAGTTAGTTGCAATACTACCAATTTGGCCACCAAGAACATTCTGATATGTTTAAGCTACAGTGGGAAAGCCAAGATATGAAAACATCACCCATGGGAATTTTGAGACTAGAGTAGTTAGAAGCTAATTTAAGATCTCCATCCAACTCTAAGATAGGGTAACTGCCAGAAGAGCCACATGATCCCAAAGTGGAATTTTGCCCTAGTATAATGGGTTAATATTTGATTGGCTGCACTTAGCTATAAATCCTGAGGAGAAGAAGAAGAAGAAAGACATCAGAAAATAATTGGGCTAGAAGAACCTTAGTTTGAAAGCAAAACACAGAATCCAGGTAAGTGGGCTTACCAGGAAAAGCTGGTGCGACGTTGCTCCGCACAATGGAGGGCCTTAGGATGGCAATGGTTAGGTTCCTGCTCTCCTGCTGCACCACCATTTCTCCCAAGGCCTTGCTATAGGTCTAAGTATTGGGACAATCTCCAATCCGCTTGGGAGTGATCTCGTCAATAATGGCGTTGTCTATACATAAAAGGTAGTCAGAATAAAAAGAATTCTAGCAACATGTGTTAGACAATAGACCAAAAGGAAAATGTGAGACACAGTCAAACAAAACTTCCACCTTTTAGCCTTGGTTCTGGAATTCAGAACAGTCACATGATACCAAGTTTGAGTGCATACCTGTCCAAAGCATGCATGAGCTCTTTTGTTTTCACTGCTAAGCCCAATCTTACAGTCAAATCCTATGCCCTCCTATCCAGACAGGTAGGTAGGTAGACGGATAGAATCAATAGCGATGCCACTTTATTACTACTACTAGTGTAGGGCTATTAATACTACTTTAGCGCTACTATTACTTTGTCAGTGCTAATTACTACTTTATCTGTAGCAGTATTAATTTGAGGTAATTACATACAACCTCTTTACTTCCTTTCCAACAAGCTCGTAAGTACATTCATTGCACATATTTTTGAGTCCCAATCATTCTCCCAGTAGTGTGCTGGAAGCTGTGTTCAGGGAGTTTGAGGCTCTCATCCAAGGTGTTTCAGTGGCAGCCCTGTTCAGTGTTGTCCTATAGAAACCCAGTGCAGTGATCCTGAAGAGTTTAGCTTTACATTTTAAAATTTTCATTCAATGCAAATCAAACCAAAGTGATTACTTTTGGCAGACTGACAATCTGTTTTACCAAATCTATGTAATGCATTTTGAAGGTCTGTTTAGAGTCTATGATAACAAATTGCTAATTATTTCCAGAGATTTTCAATGAATTCTGAAGTCTGTCAAGTGTGGTGATTATAGTACTCTGAAATTGCTTCAAAACCATGAATATTGAATACTCCTACTTACAAGATGACCTGTATCATCAATAACTGAGTTACCATAGCATCAGCCTAAACTTTCTTAAAAATATGTCAGAACCAGCCGGGCGCAGTGGCTCATGCCTGTAATCCTAGCATTTTGGGAGGCCATGGCAGGCAGATCACGAGGTCAGGAGATTGAGACCATCCTGGCCAACATGGTGAAACCCCGTCTCTACTAAAAATACAAAAATTAGCTGGGCATGGTGGCGTGCGCCTGTGATCCCAGCTATTCAGGAGGCTGAGGCAGGAGAATCACTTAAACCAGGGAGCAAAGGTTGCAGTAAGCTGAGATCTTGCCACTGCACTCCAGCCTGGTGACAGAGCAAAACTCCATCTCAAAAAAAAAAAAAAAAAAAAAGTCAGAACCATTTGATAACCCCAAAATCTATCTACAACTCTCTGAGAGAGCAAAAAAAATTATTGTCAATTAAATATGCAACATGTATTCTAGCTGACAGATCTATGTGGTTAAATTGTTAATATAACATAGCTTTTTAAAAATTAAGCTGTCGGAATATGCTAGGGTGATTTTTCTGATCAATGTGGTCCATTTATTTCTATTTTATACAACAGAACATAACTATACTATTTTGATTGTAGAAAATCTTCACTGTTACCACCTTGCTGACATGACACATTTTTGAACAACTAAGATGTGCATGAGGTTAAGACTCATTCAGAATCACAACTCTCAATATTAATGCCTCATTTGATCCTGGGGTAGAACATGGGCATTGACCATTATGTTTCCATTTTTCTTCCTTTGCTTCTGAGTGCTGAGTGTCTTCTGGATACTAAATGTCTTTTCATTTAAGTTGAATAGAGAAAGATTGAGGGGTTCTAGAATTAAAAACTTAAACTACATAGAAATATCAAGGATATTTTAATTATATGGTCACCTGGGGGCTGGGAAAGAGCATAGGATGATTCATACATCTCTCAATCTTAACAATAATCCTACCGTTACCTCATTTCATTTCTGTGTCAACAGTGGATTGACTGACCTAAGACCATTTCCCCTCAACTGCAAAACTATACAGTTTACGAAAACCAGGTCTTCAGGGAATAGAGCTTAATTTCAATAAGTCTGTAAAGAAAAAATTCCTAGAAAACATCAGAGCCCAAAAATGTACTGGGATTGTATGTCAGATGGCTAGTACCAGTTGCTGTCATTAATGTTGGGGCAGCCGGAAAGGATAATACTTGGAGGGATGGGGGCCTTATAAAGCTTAGTGAGTTTCCTTGTATTAGAAAATGTTGGGTTTTGTTGTTGTTGTTCTTGTTGTTTGTTGTTGTTGTTGTTGCTGTTTTGAAATGAAGTCTTACTCTTGTCGCCCAGGCTGGAGTGCAGTGGCACAATCTTGGCTCACTGTAATCTCCACTCCCCGGGTTCAAGCAATTCTCCTGCCTCAGCCTCCTGAGTAGCTGGGATTTCAGGTGCCCACCACACCTGGCTAATTTTTGTACTTTTAGTAGAGACGGGGTTTCACCATGTTGGCCAGGCTAGTCTCGAACCCCTCACCTCAGGTAATCTGCCCGCCTTGGCCTCCCAAAGTGCTGGGATTCCAGGCATGAAAAAATTTTGGTTTTATAGATTTCTAACAACACACATGGAAGAAATTTTAATATTCTATAGATGGCTTACCTCTGCTACTCTTAGCTGCACCTGTATTCCACTGTTTTATATTCTCGTTCCAATTTTACTTGTGAAAATGGCAATAATTATATTCATTCTAAATTCTCAGGTTATGAGGGTAAACAAAAATATTCACAACTGCATTTAAGCTGTTTGATAAAACAAAATGAGCCAATAAACCTAAGGCACTCCTATTTTTAGATAAAACAATCGGAGAGCATCATATATCTGTGTACGTAATAGTTGGTTTTAAAATGTCATTTCTGGCCATATGTGGTAGCTCAAGCCTGTAATCCCAGCACTTTGAGAGGCCAAGGAAGGAGGATCGCTTGAGTCCATGAGTTTGAGACCACCCTGGGCAACATAATAAGACCCAGTCTCTACAAAAAAAGGTTTAAAAATTAGCTGGGCATGGTGGTGTGCACCTGTAGTCCCAGCTACTCAGGAGGCTGAGGCAGGAGGATTGCTTGAGCCTGAGAGTTGAAGGCTGCAGTGAGCCATAATTGTGTCACCATACTCTAGCCTGGATGACAGAGTGAGACCCTGTCTCAAAATGAATGAATGAGTAAAACAAATAAAAATAAATTATCATTTATAATGCAGCCAGACAGGCCATCTGCTAGCTCATTCAGCCAGTTCCTAGGTTCAGACAGGAGATTAGTGTAAACATGCACATGCACTGATTGGGCAAAGCCCTTCTCAGGACTTTCACTCAATTCAGGGTTGCTGCTGCTGTTTGTTCTCAATATGTTTTTAAACAGTAAATAAGTTACCATGGATAAAAAACACTATATAAACCAAAATACGTGTCTGAAATTAATCCAAATGTTCTTCAGTATACTCAAGAAGATGTTTTGACCCAGGGGTCTCAAATTCTAAACTCGAATTGCTTCAGAAGAAGCATAAAGTCATTGAAAATTTCAGAAAGCAATATGTATGTCTATGTATGTACATACATAGACACATATACAATTTCTTCCAAAGATTACTATCAATTTTGCTTTCAAACTTATTGAATCAACATGATGATATCATTAATGGTTTCATTATTTATGTATTTATGGAATGAAATACTAAGAAGCATATGCATTTCCCCTCCCCTGACCCTCCAATTTTATCTCATTCAACAAGTTGGCAAGCCTAGTGGTTTATGAGGAAATCTGTTAGAGAGTAAGTAGTGGACACACTGTCTTATGATAACGTTTGCTCTCTTTCTCCAGTCTAAATTATATAATTCACTTGATTGTTGTAGTTATCAAGTTGTATTTGTTCATCTGTCTGTCTGCCCACTAGACAGTGAGTCCAGGAGAGCAGGGATTATGATTTTTATCTCTGTGTCTAATCACTTTTCTGCCCCCAGGAGCCAGCTACCTTATTCAGTAAATGGATGCTCTTCCACATGGTAATCTTGATTGGCCAATTTCTGTACTATATAAGGTTTTGGGAAGCAGAGATGGACAATGATGAGACAGAGTGGATGTACTCAAAAAAAGACAAGGTTGTAGGGAGAATGCAGGAAAGGAAAGAAGGGGGTACCTTTGTACAGCAGGTAGCAAAATTGGAAGTCAAAGTGTCCAGTGGCAGTGGTGAAAAGTGTTGACCAACCTCGGTTTGATGAAGGTGGCGTGAAAGTCAACTTAAACTTTTCACTGGGAAGCAGGATATTTCTGAGCCTAATGCTTATGGAGAATTGCCCTCTGTATTTCCCTCCAGACTTTCATGAGGCACCCAGCTTGGCCCAAACATGAGCCAGATGCTGAATAGCCTACCAATGGCCTGCCAATGTGAAAATTATTCAGTTTGGCTAAGAAACAATTTACTCATATTCTGGTTTGTATTTGAAGCCTGCTAATATCAAAGTACACAGAATTTTCATTTTTATGTCAGCTACTTAGATGTCATTTTGAAGCTATGCCATGATGAAATTAAAAACACAGGCCTGGCACAATGGGTTATGCCTGTAATCCCAACACTTTGGCCAAGGTCAGGAGGTGGAGAACAGCCTGGCCAAGATGGCGAAATCCCATCTCTACTAAAAACATAAAAATTAGCCAGGCACACTTGCGGGCACCTGGAATCCCAGCTACTCGGGAGGCTGAGGCAGGACAATAGCTGGAACCCAGGAGGCAGAGCCTGCAGTGAGCTGAGATCACGCATTGCACTGCAGCCTGGGAAACAAGAGCAAGACTCAAATCTCAAACAAACAAAAAGCACAAGTGCTAGAGTCAGCTTTCACCATTCCCCTAGAACAGATCATCTTTTTCAGTGTTAACAATGTGTTCTATAGCAGGAAGTCAAGACTACTGTCCAAGGTCTGACCTCCTTTGATATCTCCTGGAGGGCTGTGATGAGGGCCACTGATGCTGGCTGTGGGGGTCTCCATTTCCCTGCCTCTCACCCCTGCGCCTTCAGGGCACACGCCACCTTTCCTTTTTTACATGGCAGACTAGCTGTGTCTTCTGGTGGCCACGTAGCTTCAGAAGTGTGGTTTTTAGTAGGTACAGATCTACTAGGAACTTTCATTCAATTAAAGCTTCTAGGAACTGAAAGACAACAGGAGACAAAGAGAGCAGGAGAAAGAGGAAGCATGGGGTATTAGAAGATAAATGATCCTCTTTTCAAATGAAGACTGCTTAATGAAAAATCTCCTTAAGGCACAATTTCCCAAACTTGCCTGGTCATCAGTGTGAATTACACAAGGCCCCTGGGAAAAATCCAGACTCCTGGGTGCCATTTTAGAACCACTAAATACATCTGCAGAAGTAAGAGTCTGGATAATCTGTATTTTCAACATGGCCTGGAAATTCCAACTGTCAGGTAAATTAGGGAATCACTAATTTAAAAGAAGTCCACTCCATCAACTTAAGTCGTTAAGATTTGAATATATCAGGATTAGCTCTCAAAAACACATTGCTTCTTGGAGTAAACATTTCAACAGAATTGAATTTTAAAATTATTAAATCCCCTAATGCTATCCCTCCCCCACTCCTCTAGCCCCCCACCCACTGACAGGTTCCGGTATGTGATGTTCCCCTCCCTGTGTCCATTTGTTCTCATTGTTCAGCTCCCACTTATGAGTGAACATGCGGTGTTTGGTTTTCTGTTTCTGTGTTCGTTAACTGAGAATGATGGCTTCCAGCTTCATCTATGTTCCTGCAAAGGACAGGAACTCATCCTTTTTTATGGCTGCAGAGTATTCCATGGTATATATGTGCCACATTTTCTTTATCCAGTCTATCACTGATGGGGATTTGGGTTGGTTTCAAGTCTTTGCTATTGGGAACAGTGCCGCAATAAACATATGTGTGCACGTGTCTTTATAGTAGAATGATTTATAATCCTTTGGGTATATACTCAGTAATGGGATTGCTGGGTCAAATGTATTTCTGGTTCTGGATCCTTGAGGAATCACTACACTGTCTTCCACAATGGTTGAACTAATTTACACTCCCACCAGCGATGTAAAAGCGTTCCTATTTCTCCATATCATAATGTAGCACCAAATGTAGATAAGCGCCTAATGTAGATGAGAGGTTGATGGGTGCAGCAAACTACCATGTCATGTGTATACCTATGTAACAAACCTGCACGTTCTCCACATGTATCCCAGAACTTAAAATATAATAAAAAAAGATTGAAAATTTTAAATTTTAATACAAAATTAGGACTTAGTTATTTGCAAAATACACTGTATTTTCAATGTGAAAAACAAAGGGTTATTGTATGTATTATCAATAAAGTTATATAGTTTTCCATAAAAATAACATTAATAATGGAAAATTCTAAAAGAAAAATAATTAAATTTCTTTTAGGACAATTTAAAAATGTATCTGTCAATTTTAACATGAAAATTCTCTTACATTTATACATCCCACATTCTAATAAGGACTAATTTTTATGAGCAGTAAAGAAATGTGTGTATGCGTGTCTGTATACTTATAGGTATATATCTGTTTCTGTGAAAATCTCTCTTTTAGAGTCAGAAAATCTGTTTGGTCCCAGTTCTTACTAATAATATATGATCTCACTAAAGATACTTAAATTCAATAAACTCAATAAACTTTACTCTCAATGAGGTAAGAATGAGAACACAGGTGCCAGCCATGAGCTGCGGTTCCACTGGCACAGGCTTCAGAGATCCTACCTTTAACATCCTCCTTTCATTCATTTGAGCCTGATAAGAAAGGAGTCTCTTGGGAGAGAAGCAAGCATACACCTTGGGGCCAGACAGCCCATGGTCAAAGTTGAACTCCACCACTGTTCAGCTGTGTGATTTTGGGCAAGTGACTTTTCCTCTCTGATCCTCATGATCCTTTTTGGTAAAAACAGCAGAATGACAGGTCTATGAAGATTGGAGGAAAGAAAAATGTGTGTCTTAGTTTAAGTTTCCTGGAAGTAGATCCTGAGGCAAAGATTCAAGTATAAAAATTTTATCTGGAGATGACTCCAGGACAGTAATTCTACTGTCAGTTCTTCCTTAGAGTACTAATTGCAGGCAACACCAGTAGAGGAGTGGGGAACTGAGACAGGAATGGAATGTAGCAGTTAAAGGGACCTTCATCAAGAAAGTTTCCACTGTGGGCAGCCAGGACTCAGCCCTGCCGGGTACCTCTGAGAGACAGCATAGAACATGTGCCTCAGAGTCATCCCACCCAGAGCAAGGGAGTTGGGTTATTTATCCACCAATACACACCAGTCACTCCTCAGGGCTTCGTCCAAGGACATGATTCCTCCAGAATGCCCTGCCTGCACTGCAAGAATGAGACCTGGAGGGTCAATGGCAAGAGCCCTGACAGCGCCTCCAGCAGTGAGCAGGACCACAGCCTGGTGTGGAGAGTTTCAGTCCCTCAGTGACCCCAACACACACACACACACACACACACACACATTCTCTCACACACACACACACACACACACACACTCTCTCACACACACACACCATACTCCAACACCAACAGAGAACATACACACATACACATACATGCATAGATGACTGTTACCCACTTACATCCTGGTGAATCCATGGGATAGAAGATAAGGTGGGAATCAGAGGGAAAAGCAAAATTAAGGGGAGTGAGGGTCTTGGGAACAAAATGAAAATATAGGCAGAAAATCAAGGGGGAAGAGTGCTCTGGACACCAAACGCCTGCTGGCTGGCACCTGCTCTACATACACTGTCAGTCATTCTCCAAGCAATCTCGTGGAGTCGAAGGAATTCCCCTCAGTTACAGATGGTAGAAATGTAGTTCAGAAAAGAAAACTGATTTTACTAACTGATTTTACTGCTTCTGGGTTCTGCTCCTTTTCTTGCTAGGCAATCATGACAGAATTGACAAAAACATTTTCCCCCTTCACCACCTGGAGCAGAGCCAATGAGAGGGGCTGGGGAACAGGCCATGAGGCCCTGCACCCACCATTCAATGTCTTCAGGATTAGGACTCTTGCATCACAGGCTGGCAGCACTCCCGATGTCTGGGTGTTTTGTGAGGTTGTACAGGATCTAGTAGAGGCCACTGGCTCTGCTGTCATATCCTAAGAGGCAGCCAGGCAGACTTGGGTCTCTTGGCTGCTTCAGCACCAGAGGATGAACAGCGCCCATACACTGAGGCTTTGGGGAGAATGGGAGGAGGGAAAGGAAGGGCAGAATGGAGTGATGTAGGGTCCATCCATCATATCCCTGGATGGAGAGACCCCTGTTCCCACAGTAGTCCCACACCGGGACCACCACCAGCACTCATGAATATGCCAGCCTCCATTTATATGTCCTCGTCTGACAACTCCTTCCCATTTTCATCCTGGAGGCAAGACTCTGAACACACTAGCTCTGAGGACACCTGTGTGTAACCTGAGACAGTCCCTGAAGACCTTTCATCCAAGCAGGATCCCTCCTTTGCCATCTCCAGACCTGCCCCACAAGCTCCCTCCCTGGTCTCCTGGCTCTTGTTCACTCCTTCCAGGCAGCCTTCTACAGTCATCTCGAAAACATAGCTGACTGTCACTCCTTTATCCAGCACCTTCCATGGCTCCCCAGAGCCCTCCAGATCAAGTTCAAGTACCTTGATCAGACACTTGATCTCAAGCTCCATTCTACCTCCTGAATTAAGATCCTGGAGAAGCCACCTTGCTCAGCACAAGCGCATCAATAAAGTCCGAAGCCTTGAATGTGGCCTTGGCCTTGAGGAAGTCATCAACACCCTGGCTAGTGAGGGTGCGGTGCTGCTGCAAGATGATGGTGTCTGAAGTTGTGCACCAAGTCACAGGCCCTGCAGAAGCATCGCCCCTCAGGAATGGGTAGTACAGGAAGTCCAAGCACAGGCAGATCTACTGACGCCGTTACACTATGAGGGTACTGAGCTCCAAGATGTCAGCAGTATGTTCACTGGCATTCCTGCAGGGTGAGGCTAGGGAGAGGAAGCAGCTCCGTAACAGATATGAAAACTCTGGAAGCCCTTCCCAGCCAAAATCTCTGGACCACATTACACCCAGAAATGGGTGCCCTCTCAGCACACTTCTCTCTGCCTCCCTCTCTGAGCTGCCTCCTGGCCCCACATGCCCCAGCCTGGACCAGGGCTTGGAGCCCAGCAGGTGTTCAGTTCATGGTGTTGACTGCTTCCTGGCACAGGAGAGCCTTTGGTAGCTCTGTGACTCCTCCTGTGGAACCCCTGCCTCTGCCTCAGGACCTCCCTATTCCCATGGGAAGACCCCAAGGATTGCCCCACCTGCCCAGGGATCCTCCAACCCCATAGGCCTTACTTGATGCCTTATCCCTCCCAGAACATGACATGTTTCTCACAAGGTGACTTACTTCCAAGGCCATCTGTGGATGTTTGCTGGGGACCTCTTGCTGTTCTCCTTTATGATCTGTAGGGCAGGACCAAGAGGAGAAACCAGCCCAACCTCAGAACAAACAAAGGCTCACTGCCACAAATGGCAACCACCAAACAGTCAGCAGTGCTTCTGGGAGGAAAGGAGGTTTCATTCCGCACAAAGCTCCTTGTTTGGTTTCTTTCTGAATCCGGGGAGGGGTAGGTACCAAGCCCAGCTTACCTGTGGTGTCTACATTACCATCTGTGCCTAGGATGTGCAAAGGGCCCCTGCTCCCACCGCAGGGTTGACGTTCCCTCCAGCTGGAGACCTGGGCTCCTGACACCGCCTGGCCTGTTTGTCCTGCTCTGGATGAGCGGGGAAAGGCTGTACCTGGTATTTCCCTAGGTCCTTGGTTTCTACCACCTAGACATCCAGCAGGAGTGACCATGTCTAGCACCACACCTGAAAGGGGACTCCCTTGTACAGCAGCCCAGACATCTACAGATGGAAGAGTTCTCAGTGAGACAGGCCACAGGGGTCCCCAGGGAGGATCAGGGGGTGGAGGATTCTGGAGATTTCCAGCCTTGGGCTCTGTGGTTCCTCAAAGAGGTTAGGTCTACCTAGTACCAGGCCTCCCCTCCCACGATTCAAAGACTGAATGAGTGTCCAGCATCAGGAACTCTGTTCTGGACCTGTTTTTTCATTTAGGTCACCAAGGGACAACCCCTAACCCCTGAGCTAGGGATGGTCCAAGCTCTGGCATGAGATTTTCCTCCAGCAATGTGATGCTTACAGGGACAGGTAGAAAAGCTGGTGACCAGGCCTGCTGTCCTCTGGTTAAGGAGTGTGCCACCCACCCTCTGAGAGGCAGGTGGTGCCAGGCCACAGCACTGGGTGCCTGTACCCCTGGCTCTGCAGACACCGGTCATGGAGGTCCCTCCCTCCACATTACCTTCTTGCTGCTCCTAGATTTCTTCTAGTCATTAAGCACTTTGAGTCACTTTTCTGTGCATCCAATTTTACATTTTTGCTCTCAGATGAAACAGGATAAAGTATGCTGAGCTGCCAGGATTCCTGGAGGGGACCTTGGATGCTGAGTCTTGGGATCCAGGGCCCTGATGGGACTGAATCAGAAGGAGCCAGGGAAAGACAAAGATTGGGGCTGAGCCCCTATGACCCAATGGCCATTGGTGGCCTGGCCTTATGGTCCCAAGACACCTTGTTCTCAGGCCAGAGACACCATGGGCTTTGGTCGGGTCCCAGCCTCCCAGTAGTGTCCTGGCACTAGCAGGAGCTGACCCCTGAGCCACAACCGCAGTTCTGGGTTTGGGATTTGGTAAAACCACCTCAAGGACAGAGTCTTGGGATCGGGTTTGCCAGGAACCATGGTGCCTCCCAGAGATGGTGTGTCATTCCCACTTGCCACGAAATGTGCACACAGGCTGTCCCCATGTCCATCCCATCCCGCTGGACAGGATGGAGGAAGTCAGGGAACAGGCATGGTGGACAGCTGGGGTGCAGGGAGAGGCAGGTGCATGCTGGGAGGTCAGGCCCTGCGAGGGCTGTGGAGGCATCAGGTGGAGTGGGCTCCAGGTGCACCTTCAGTGTACTGGGCACGTCTGAGGCCAGGCTCACTGGACCCTGGATGTGTGATGTGGTCAATCACTGGGGGAATGTTGTCAGGTCCCAGCCACCCGCCCTGGGCAGCACTGTCTCATCTCAGGACTGGACTTTCTGAGTCCTAAGACAAGACAGTGCTGCCCAGGCCTGACAGCCTGGGAGGACCTGTTAAGTCCTCCATCCCTAGACTAGCCTCCCAACAGCAGGGACAGTCTCTTATCTTCACCTTCAGGGAACTGACTGATCCATCTCACTCTAAGCCAGTCGAGGCAGAGCTGAGGACCTGCACCAGTCTGGGAGCCAGTCCCCTCCCCAAATGGGCCTGAGGGAAGCACCATCCCTGTCCCAATCTGCCACAAGTTTCAGCCTAGGAGACACATGGGGAAGGGAGGACGGGGCATCCCTGCTGGCTGACACTGGAAAAGTGGGACCTGGGAGAATGGGGAGCACAAGGCTGGCAGGGGATGCTCCAGGCCCATGGAGAGCTCAGGCTGCACCATGCGGTTGCCCCTCCTGGGTGGAGTCTGTGCCCTCTACAGGATCTGAGAAAGTCCAGTCCTGAGATGGGACAGCGCTGCCCAGGGTAGGTAGCCGGGGCCTGAGAGCAGTCCCCCAGGGAGTGACCACATCACCTGGCTGGGGTCCAGGGAGCTTGGGGTGATACCCACCCAGTGCACTGAGGGTGCACCTGGAGCCCAACCCACCTGACACCCTCACAGCCTTCACAGGGTCTGACGTCCCACCATGCACCTGCCTCTCCCTGCACCCCACTGCCCCCCCTGCCTGTTCCCTGGCTTTCTCCATCCTGTGCAGCCCATAGACTGTGACCATCTCTCCAGACACTCTGACCCTTTCTTCACCTTTGTCCTGTCAGAATCTCTGAGCAACATCTCCCAGGTCCATCCAAACAACTGCTTTGTCCACTTTTGACCAGGCCGTTGGGCATCACTGGGCCATCCCAGCTGTCCAGAGGGCCCTCGATAACGTGCAATGCACCTGGCTTCTCCAAGCAGCGCTCAGCAGTCCCCACTGACCAGGTTCCTGCTGACCAGACCCCACACATCAGGTCTTCCCTGACCACACCCTCACTGATTAGACCCCCATCACCAGGACCCACTAACAAGACCCCCGCTGCCAGGCCAACAATGACCATGACTCCACTGACCAGGACCTTACTGACAAAGCCTCACGGACAAGGCCTCACTGAACAGGACCTTACTGACCAGGCCTCACTGACAAGGCCTCACTGACAAAGTCCTTACTAACAAGGCCTCACTGACCAGGACCTTATTGACAAGGCCTCACTGACAAGGCCTCATGGATGAGCTCCTTACTGACAATTCCTCACTGACCAGGACCTTATTGACAAGGCCTCACGGACCAGGACCTTATTGACAAGGCCTCACGGACCAGGTCCTTACTGACAAGGCCCCACTGACAAGGCCTCATGGACCAGGTCCTAACTGAGAAGACCTCACTGACCAGGACCTTATTGACAAGGCCTCACTGACCAGGTCCTTACTGACAAGGCCCCACTGACAAGGCCTCACTGACAAGGTCCTTATTGACAAGGCCTCACTGACCAGGTCCTTACTGACAAGGCCCCACTGACAAGGCCTCACTGACAAGGTCCTTATTGACAAGGCCTCACTGACCAGGACCTTACTGACAAGGCCTCACTGGCAAGGCCTCAAGGACCAGGTCCTTACTGACAAGGCCTCACTGACTAGGTCATTACTGACAAGGCCTCACTGATCAGATTCCACTGATCATGACCCCACTACCTGGACCCACAGATGAGGCCCCACTGACCAGGCCTCCAGGGAACAGGCTGCCACTGATCAGGCCCCTACTAACCAGGCCTGAGGTGACCAGATGCCCCTGACTGGGACCCTAGTGAGTAGGCCCCACTGAACAGGCACCGACTACTCAGGTCCCCGCTGACCGGGTCACCCCGTAGACCAGTGGTACAAAAGCCACCACTGACCAAGTCATCACTGACCAGGCCCCCACTGATGAGGTTCCACTGACCAGGCTGCCCTGATCAGGGCCCCACTGACAAGGGACTCACTGATGAGGACACGCCCACCAGGCCCTGCTGACTAGGTCCCATGTGACCAGTCCTCCACTGAATAGCACCCCTTGACCTGGTCACCAGTGACCCAGCCCATGCTGACCAGGCCACCACTAAGCCCAGCTGACCAGGTCGCCACCGGTCAAGCCCCACAGCCTAGGTCTGCACTGACCAGACACCAAGCAACTGGCTGCCAGTAGGTCCCCACTTGCCAAAACCCCCACTACTGGATCCCCCTAATGAGACCCTCCCTAAGCAGACCCCTGCTGGCCAGGTTCCCACTAAACAGGCCTCACTGACCAAGTCCCAACTGACTAGGTCCACTGAGCAGGCCCACACTGATCAGGCAGGCCCCTCCTAACCACATCAGAAGGCCAAGTGGCAATGAGATGTTTCATATGGCAGAAATAGAAGCAAGACACAGAGAGAAAAGAGGTGCCACAGCCCATTATACAACCAGATCACATGAGAACTATCAGATCAGCATCAAGAAGATTAACCACTGGTGAAGGATCCACCACACACACCACCGCCTACTGTTTCCAGGCAGAAGCCTCCTGCAGAGGCAGAGCCTCTTGGGAAACTTCTACTATGGCAGTGCAGAAGGGAAATATGGGCTTGGAGCCCCCACACAGGAGGCCACCATCCTCCAGACCCCAGATTCATAAGCCCACCAACAGCCCGCACCCTCAGTATGCAAAAGCACTCAACACCAGCCCAGCCCATGAGAGCAGCCATGGGGGCTAAAGCCTGCAAAGCCACAGGAGCACTGCCCTAGCAGAGGTTTTCCATGAGGATGTGACTCTGCAGCAGGCTACTCCCCCTTCCTAATACCCACCATCCTCTCACCACCCTACTGACAACCCACTCCTCCCAACACTATCCACTTTATTTCCTTCCAACTCCAACCCCCTCCCATCCATGGTTAAATCACCTTCCACCAGGCCCCATCTCCAACATTCAAGATTACAATTCACATGAGTTTCTGTAGGGAAACACAGCCAAACCATGTTATTCTTACCCTGACCCCTCCGAATCTCATGTCCTTCTCACAGAGCAAAATACAATCACACCTTTTCAAAAGTTGCCAAAAGTCTTAACTCATTCCAGCATTAACTCAAATGTAAAAGGTTCAACGTCTCATCTGAGACAAGCCTACAGTCCCTTTTGCCTATAAGTCCCTGAATTTAAAAGGGTGTTCTTTTAAGACACAATGATGGTACACCCATTGGGTAAGCTTTCTCAGTCCAACAGGAAGAAATTTCCCAGCAAAATAACACAGATGGGACCACAGGACCAATGCAAGTCCAAAACCCAGGAGACCAGTATCCATTCAATCTCACTGCTCCAAAATCATGAAGAGAACTCACCATCACAAGGACAGAAATAAAGAGATTGTGTCTAATCATTTGTGAAGGAGCCACCATCACTTTTCACCCCTCACCCCCAACATAATCTCCCCATTCTCCCTATCCCCCACCTCCCAACCCCCACACTCCACCATGATTAAATCACTTTCCACCAGGCCCCACCTTTAACATTCCCCATTACAATTCCACACGAATTTTGGTAGGGACACAGAGCTAAATTTTATTATTCTGTCCCTGGCTCCCCAAATCTCATGTCCTTCTCACATTGCAAACTACAATGATAGCTTCCCTACAGTCCCCCGAAGTCTTATATCATTTCATCATTTATACAAATGTTCAAAGCTTAAAGTCTCATCTAACACAAGGCTGCAGACCCTTAGGCTCATGAGCCTCTGAAATATAAAGAAAGTTAACTACTTCCAAGGTACAATGCTTATACAGGCAATGGGTAAGCATTCCCAGCCAAAAGGAATAATTTTGCCAGAAAGAACAAAAGACAGAAAGGACTTACAGACCCCATGAAACTCCAAACCCAGAAGGCCATTCAATCCTACAGCTCCAAAATTACCCTTTTTGAAACCTTGTCCCACATCCAGGGCACAGGGATGTAAGGGCTGGGCTCCCAAGGCCTTGGGCAGCTCTGCACCTGTGGCTTTGCAGGGTTTATGCCCCACGGCTGTCTTCATGGGCTGGGCTGGTGTTGAGCACCTGTAGCTTTTACCCACTGACGGTACAAGCTGTTGCGGGGTCTATTAATCTGCGGTCTTCATGATGGTGGCCTCCAGTGTGGGGGCTCCAACCCCATATTTTCCTTCTGTACTGCCCTAGTAGAGGTTTCTTATGAGGTTCTGCCTTTTAGGAAGGCTTTCGCCTGGACACCCAGACATTTCCATACATCCTCCAAAATCTATAAAGAGCCTCCCAAGCCCCTAGGCTCATGCTCCATACAACCAGTGGCCTAACACTATGAGGAAGTTCATGAGAACTCACTATCACGAGGTCAGCATCAAGAAGATGGTGCTTAATCATTAGTGAAGGATCCGTCCCCAACCCACCTCCACCCCCTACTGTTTCCGGACAGAAGCCTGAGGCAGAGCCTGAGCCTCTTGGAAAACCTGTACTATGGCAGTGCAGAAAAAAATATGGGCTTGGAGCCCCTATGCAGGAGGCCACCATCCTCCAGAGCCCAGATTCATAGACCCATCAACAGCTCGCACCTTCAGTATGGAAAAGCTACCGGCACTCAACACCAGCCCAGCCCATGAGAGCAGCCATGGGGGCTACACCCTGCAAAGCCACAGGTGCACAGTCCTAGCAGAGGTTTTCTACGAGCCTCTGCCTCTGCAGCAGGCTACTCCTCCTTCCTACTACCCCCACCCTCCCACCACCCTACAGCGAGCTTACTCCTCACCACGCTACCCACCTCTTTTTCCCTCCAACCCCACCCACCCCCCATCCATGATTAAATCACCTCCCACCAGGCTCCACCTCCAACATTCGGGATTGCAATTCCACATGAGTTTTTCTAGGGAAACACAGCCAAACCATATTATTCTGACCTTGACCCCCTCCGCCGAATCTCATGTCATTCTCACAGAGTAAAATACAGTCATGCCTTTTCAAATGTTTACAAAAGCCTTAACTCATTCCAGCGTTAACTCAAATGTAAGAAGTTCAAAGTCTTATCTGATACAAGGCTACGGTCTCTTCCGCCAATGAGTCCCTGAACTTAAAATGGAGTTCTTTTAAGGTACGATGATGGTACAGGCATTGGGTAAGCTTTCTCACTCCAAAGGGAAGAAATTTCCCAGAAAAATAACACAAATGGGACCACAGGCCCAATGCACATCCAAAACCCAGCAGGCCAGTATTCAAATCTCAAAGCTCCTAAACCATGAAGCAAACTCACTGTCAGAAGGACAGCATTACAAAGATGGTGTTTAACCATTTGTGAAGAATCTGCCCCCCATCTCTGCCTTTCCCCACAACCCCAACACAATCCCCCCCAATGCTCCCAACCACCCCCACCTTCCAAACTCCACTCTCCACCATGATTAAATCACCTTCCACCAGTCCCCACCTTTAACTTTGCCCATTACAATTCCACGAGCTTTGGTAGGGACACAGAGCCAAATCATATTATTCTGTCCCTGGTCCCCGAAATCTCCTGCTTCTTACATTGCAGAATACAATGATACCTGCCCTACAGGCCCCCAAATCTTAAATAATTCCAGCATTTACTCAAATGTCCAAAGCCCAAAGTCTCGTCTGAGACAAGGCTACAGTCCGATCTGCCCCTGGGTTTCTGAATTATAAAGCAAGTTAACTAATTCCAAGGCACAATGATTGTACAGGCAATGAGTAAGCATTCCCAGCCAGTAGAAAAAAAAAATGCCAGAAAGAAAAACAAAACACAGATGGGACTCACAGGATACATGAACATCCAAAACCCAGCAGGCCAGTCATTCAATCCGACAGCTCCAAAATCATCCTTTTTGAATCCTCGTCCCACATCCATGGCACAGGGCTGTGAGGGCTGGGCTCCCAAGGCCTTGGGCAGATCTGCACCTGTGGCTTTGCAGCGTTCAGCACCCACAGCTGCCTCTCATGGACAGGGCTGTTTTGAATGCCTGTAGCTTTTCCACACTGAGGGTGCAAGATGTTGGTGGGTCTATGAATCTGGGGTTTGGAGAATGGAGCCTCCCTGTGAGGGGGCTTCAACCCTACATGGCCCTTCTTTGCTGCCCTAGCAGAGGTTTTCCATGAGCCTCTTGGAAAGGCTACTGCCTGGACACCCAGGCTTTTCTCTACATCCTCTGGAGTCCAGACAAGAGGCTCCAAAGCCTCTAGTCTCTTGCTCTCTTCACCTGCTGCCTTAACACTATGTGGAAGCCATCAAGGCTTGGAGCCACATGTGAAGTAGTGACCCAAGCTGTACCTGTGCATCATTCAGCCATGGCTGGAGCTGGGGCTGCAGGGATGCAGGCAGCAGTGTCCTGAGGATGCACACAGCAGCAGGGCCGTGGAGCTGGCCCAGTAAACCATTCTTCTCTGCTAGGCCCCAGGGCCTGTGAGAGCAAAGGCTACTGCAAAGGTCTCTGAAATGCCTTCAAGGCCTTTTACCCTTTGTCTTGGACACTTGCACTAACCTCCTTTTTATGCAAATACTCTAAGCCTTATTGAATTTTCCCCCTGAAAATCAGCTTTTCTTTTTGACCACTTGACTAGGCTGCAAATTTTCCAAACTTCTGAGCTCCACTTCTCATTTAAGTAGAAGATCCAACTTGAGGTCATTTCTTAGCTCATACATAACAACACAGGCTGTTCGACGCAGACAGGACACCTCTTGAGCTATGCTGCTTAGATGTTCATTCCACAAGATACATCCTAAATCATCACCCCCAAGTTCATAGTTTCACAGATCTCCAGGGCAAGGTCACTGTGCAGCCTCTGTTGGGCAAATCAAATGTAGCTTTGACTCCTATTCACAGGAAATTCCTGATTTTTATCTGAGAACTTTTAAGTCTGGCCTTCACTGTCCATCCTTCTGTCAGCCTTCTGATCACAAGTATTTAACAATTCTCTACAGGGGTCCAAGCTTTTCCTCATCTTGCTGTCTTTTAAGCTTTCCCAACTCTCCCGACCTCTGTCTTTTACCCACTACTGAACCTGCTTCTACATTATCAGCTCTCTGTGTCACAGCCTGGCAATGTGGTAAAAGAAGAAAAGTCCATTTTCAGGGAAAAAATTCACACAGGCTTCAGATATTTGCATGAAAAGAAGCTGAGTGCTGCTTGCCAAGACAATGGGGAAAAGGCCTTGAAGGCATTTCATAGGGAAAAGGCCCTGAAGGAATTTCATAGCTTCACTTCACAGTACTAACCTTCTGTATGATCAAAAAGAAAAGAGGTTTCATTGGCTCACAGTTCTGCAGGCTGCAAAGGAAGCACAGTGGCTTCTGCTTCTGGGAGGACTCAGGTACCTCCCAATCATACTAGAAGACCAAGGGGCAAGGAGATGTTTCATACAGCAGGAGAAGGAGCAAGACAGAGAGAGGAAAGAGGTGCCACATCATGTTATACAAGCAGATCTCATGAGAACTCACTATCACGAGGTCAGCATCATGAAGATGGTGCTTAACCACTGGTGAAGGCTTCCACCCTGCAAAACTACCTCCCACTGTTTCCAGGCAGAAGCATGCTGCAGAGGCAGAGCCTCTTCAGAAACCTCTGCGAGGGCACTGCAGAAGGAAAATATGGGCTTGGAGGACTAACACAGGGAGCCACCAACCTCCAGACCACAGGTGCACCCTTGCAGAGGTGACTGGTTGCTCTTTGAGCCAGCTTGGCCTTGCCTGGCATGCATAGGCCCCAGCTACTGACACGCTGCTCCGAGTGAGCTTGTCCTGCCTTGGCACAAATTCTGAGTCTGGCCAGGGCCACAGAAGGCCGAGTCCCTTGGATGGTAATCCTGGCTGCTTTCTGCACTTGAACATGAAGTCCTCCTCAAGAGGGCCTGTGGTCTGCCTCTTGGCAACCAAGAAGCCTGCAGTGCCATACGACCCGAGGCATGGACTGGAGCCCCAAAGGCAGCGCACATCCTGCTCCTAACTCTGCCGCTCATTTCCTCTCTGTGGCTCCATTTGTAGCACAGTTGTTGCACTGAGACTTGTGCATGCCAGGCAAGGCCAAGCTGGCTCAAACAGCAACCAGCCACCTCTGCGAGTGTGTGCCAGGAGCAGCCAGACCAGCCACCAACCTCACTCGCTGCGGGACATGGTACATTGGTTCTTCTACCCTAAAGGCAGGGCCAAGAGGCAGACCACAGGCCGCCTTGAGGAGGACTTTATGTTCAAGTGCAGAAAGCAGCCAGGATTGCCACCAAGGGGACTCAGCCTTCTGTGGTCTGCACTGCCATACAAGCTCTGAGACATGGACTAGTGACATCTGCTTTATAGAAAAATTAACCTAAGATCTATTAAAGAGTTAAACATGCCATCTGATTTTACTCAGGCCTCTGCTCCATCAGCCCTCAGGTGGCAGCCACTCAGGCTGTGGGAACCTGGCCATCCCGGCTTCCTTCAGTGGGTGAGGTTGGTGGCTGGTCCAACTGGTCCAGGCGCACCCTTGTAGAGGTGGCTGGTTGCTCTTTGAGCCAGCTTGGCCTTCCCGGACATGCACAGGCCCCAGATACTAACACGCTGCTCTGAGTGAGCTTCTCCTGCCTTGACACAAATTCTAAGTCTCGCCAGGGCCACAAAAGGCCGAGTCCCCTGCGTGGCAATCATGGCTGCTTTCTGCACTTGAACATAAAGTCTTCCTCAAGACAGCCTGTGGTCTGCCTCTTGGCAACCAAGAAGCCCACAGTGCCATACGACCCGAGGCATGGACTGGAGCCCCAAAGGCAGCACACACCCGGCTCCTGAGCCTACTGCTCGTTTCCTCTCTGTGGCTCCATTTGTAGCACAGTTGTTGCACTGAGGCTTGTGCATGCCGGGGAAGGCCAAGCTGGCTCAAAGAGCAACCAGCCACCTCTGCAAGGGTGTGCCAGGAGCAGTTGTACCACTCACCCACTAGCGGCCAGACATGGTACATCAGTTCTTCTACCCTAAAGGTGGGCCGCAGTGCCATCTGCTTTTCCTAATGCCTCTGCTCCATCAGCAATTAGGTGGCAGCCAAGGCAGGACAAGCTCACTCAGAACAGCGTGTTAGTACCTGGGGCCTGTGCATGCCAGGGAGGCCAAGCTGGCTCAAAGAGCAACCAGCCACCTCTGCAAGGTCTGGCCAGGGCTACAGAAGGCCCCCCTGGATGGTAATCCTGGCTGCTTTCTGTACTTGAACATGAAGTCTTCCTCAAGACGGCCTGTGGTCTGCCTCCAGGCAAGTAAGAAGCCCGCAGTGCTATACAACTCGAGGCATGGACTGGAGCCCCAAAGGCAGCGCACACACTGCTCCTGAGCCTGCTGCTCGTTTCCTCTCTATGGCTCCATTTGTAGCACTGTTGTTGCACTGAGGCTTGTGCATGCCGGGCAAGGCCAAGCTGACTCAAAGAGCAACCAGTCACTTCTGCAAGGGTGCGCCAGGAGCCGGTGCACCAGCCACCAACCTCACTTGCTACCGGACATGGCACATCAGTACTTCTACCCCAAAGGTAGGGCCACAGGCCCATCTGCTTTTCCTAAGGCCTCTGCTCCATCAGCCATCAGGAGGCAGCCACTCAGGCTGTTGGAACCTGGCCATCCCAGCTTCCTTGAGTAGCTGAGGTTGCTGGATGGTCCACCTGCTCCTGGCACACCCTTGCAGAGTTGGCTGGTTGCTCTTTGAGCCAGCTTGGCCTTGCCTGGCATGCATAGGCCACAGCTACTGACACGCTGCTCCGAGTGAGCTTGTCCTGCCTTGGCACAAATTCTGAGTCTGGCCAGGGCCACAGAAGGCCGAGTCCCTTGGATGGTAATCCTGGCTGCTTTCTGCACTTGAACATGAAGTCCTCCTCAAGAGGGCCTGTGGTCTGCCTCTTGGCAACCAAGAAGCCTGCAGTGCCATACGACCCGAGGCATGGACTGGAGCCCCAAAGGCAGCGCACATCCTGCTCCTAACTCTGCCGCTCATTTCCTCTCTGTGGCTCCATTTGTAGCACAGTTGTTGCACTGAGACTTGTGCATGCCAGGCAAGGCCAAGCTGGCTCAAACAGCAACCAGCCACCTCTGCGAGTGTGTGCCAGGAGCAGCCAAACCAGCCACCAACCTCACTCGCTGCGGGACATGGTACATTGGTTCTTCTACCCTAAAGGCAGGGCCAAGAGGCAGACCACAGGCCGTCTTGAGGAGGACTTTATGTTCAAGTGCAGAAAGCAGCCAGGATTGCCACCAAGGGGACTCAGCCTTCTGTGGTCTGCACTGCCATACAAGCTCTGAGACATGGACTAGTGACATCTGCTTTATAGAAAAATTAACCTAAGATCTATTAAAGAGTTAAACATGCCATCTGATTTTACTCAGGCCTCTGCTCCATCAGCCCTCAGGTGGCAGCCACTCAGGCTGTGGGAACCTGGCCATCCCTGCTTCCTTCAGTGGGTGAGGTTGGTGGCTGGTCCAACTGGTCCAGGCGCACCCTTGTAGAGGTGGCTGGTTGCTCTTTGAGCCAGCTTGGCCTTCCCGGACATGCACAGGCCCCAGGTACTAACACGCTGCTCTGAGTGAGCTTCTCCTGCCTTGACACAAATTCTAAGTCTCGCCAGGGCCACAAAAGGCCGAGTCCCCTGCGTGGCAATCATGGCTGCTTTCTGCACTTGAACATAAAGTCTTCCTCAAGACAGCCTGTGGTCTGCCTCTTGGCAACCAAGAAGCCCACAGTGCCATACGACCCGAGGCATGGACTGGAGCCCCAAAGGCAGCACACACCCGGCTCCTGAGCCTACTGCTCGTTTCCTCTCTGTGGCTCCATTTGTAGCACAGTTGTTGCACTGAGGCTTGTGCATGCCGGGCAAGGCCAAGCTGGCTCAAAGAGCAACCAGCCACCTCTGCAAGGGTGTGCCAGGAGCAGTTGTACCACTCACCCACTAGCGGCCAGACATGGTACATCAGTTCTTCTACCCTAAAGGTGGGCCGCAGTGCCATCTGCTTTTCCTAATGCCTCTGCTCCATCAGCAATTAGGTGGCAGCCAAGGCAGGACAAGCTCACTCAGAGCAGCGTGTTAGTACCTGGGGCCTGTGCATGCCAGGGAGGCCAAGCTGGCTCAAAGAGCAACCAGCCACCTCTGCAAGGTCTGGCCGGGGCTACAGAAGGCCGAGTCCCCTGGATGGTAATCCTGGCTGCTTTCTGCAGTTGAACATAAAGTCCTCCGCAAGACGGCCTGTTTTCTGCCTCTAGGCAACCAAGAAGCCCGCAGTGCTATACCACTCGAGGCTTGGACTGGAGTCCCAAAGGCAGCGCACAGCCTGCTCCTGAGCCTGCTGCTCGTTTCCTCTCTGTGGCTCCATATGTAGCAGAGAGGTTGCACTGAGGCTTGTTCATGCCGGGCAAAGCCAAGCTGTCTCAAAGAGCAACCAGTCACCTCTGCGAGGGTGTGCCAGGAGCCGCTGCACCAGCCACCAACCTCACTTGCTGCTCAGTACTTCTACCCTAAAGGTAGGGCCACAGGGCCATCTGCTTTTCCTAAGGCCTCTGCTCCATGAGCCATCAGGAAGCACCAATCAGGCTGTTGGAACCTGGCCATCCGTGCTTCCTTCAGTGGCTGAAGTTGGTGGCTGGTCCACCTGCTCCTGGCACACCTTTGCAGAGGTGGCTGGTTGCTCTTTGAGCCAGCTTGGCCCTGCCTGGCATGCATAGGCCTCAGCTACTGACACACTGCTCCAAGTGAGCTTGTCCTGCATTGGCACAAATTCTGAGTCTGGCCAGGGTCACAGAAGGCCAAGTCCCCTGGATGGTTATCCGGGCTGCTTTCTGCACTTGAACATAAAGTCCTCCTCAAGATGGCCTGTTGTCTGCCTCTTGGCAACCAAGAAGCCTGCAGTGCCATACGAGTTCTGAGGCATGGACTGGAGGCCCAAAGGCAGAGCACACCCTGCTCCTGACCCTGCGGCTCGTTTCCTCTCTGTGGCTCCATTTGTAGCACAGTTGTTGCACTGAGGCTTGTGCATGCCAGGCAAGGCCAAGCTGGCTCAAACAGCAACCAGCCACCTCTGCAAGTGTGTGCCAGGAGCAGCCAGACCAGCCACCAACCTCACTCGCTGCGGGACATGGTACATTGGTTCTTCTACCCTAAAGGCAGGGCCAAGAGGCAGACCACAGGCCGTCTTGAGGAGGACTTTATGTTCAAGTGCAGAAAGCAGCCAGGATTGCCACCAAGGGGACTCAGCCTTCTGTGGTCTGCACTGCCATACAAGCTCTGAGACATGGACTAGTGACATCTGCTTTATAGAAAAATTAACCTAAGATCTATTAAAGAGTTAAACATGCCATCTGATTTTACTCAGGCCTCTGCTCCATCAGCCCTCAGGTGGCAGCCACTCAGGCTGTGGGAACCTGGCCATCCCTGCTTCCTTCAGTGGGTGAGGTTGGTGGCTGGTCCAACTGGTCCAGGCGCACCCTTGTAGAGGTGGCTGGTTGCTCTTTGAGCCAGCTTGGCCTTCCCGGACATGCACAGGCCCCAGGTACTAACACGCTGCTCTGAGTGAGCTTCTCCTGCCTTGACACAAATTCTAAGTCTCGCCAGGGCCACAAAAGGCCGAGTCCCCTGCGTGGCAATCATGGCTGCTTTCTGCACTTGAACATAAAGTCTTCCTCAAGACAGCCTGTGGTCTGCCTCTTGGCAACCAAGAAGCCCACAGTGCCATACGACCCGAGGCATGGACTGGAGCCCCAAAGGCAGCACACACCCGGCTCCTGAGCCTACTGCTCGTTTCCTCTCTGTGGCTCCATTTGTAGCACAGTTGTTGCACTGAGGCTTGTGCATGCCGGGGAAGGCCAAGCTGGCTCAAAGAGCAACCAGCCACCTCTGCAAGGGTGTGCCAGGAGCAGTTGTACCACTCACCCACTAGCGGCCGGACATGGTACATCAGTTCTTCTACCCTAAAGGTGGGCCGCAGTGCCATCTGCTTTTCCTAATGCCTCTGCTCCATCAGCAATTAGGTGGCAGCCAAGGCAGGACAAGCTCACTCAGAGCAGCGTGTTAGTACCTGGGGCCTGTGCATGCCAGGGAGGCCAAGCTGGCTCAAAGAGCAACCAGCCACCTCTGCAAGGGTGTGCCAGGAGCAGTTGTACCACTCACCCACTAGCGGCCAGACATGGTACATCAGTTCTTCTACCCTAAAGGTGGGCCGCAGTGCCATCTGCTTTTCCTAATGCCTCTGCTCCATCAGCAATTAGGTGGCAGCCAAGGCAGGACAAGCTCACTCAGAGCAGCGTGTTAGTACCTGGGGCCTGTGCATGCCAGGGAGGCCAAGCTGGCTCAAAGAGCAACCAGCCACCTCTGCAAGGTCTGGCCGGGGCTACAGAAGGCCGAGTCCCCTGGATGGTAATCCTGGCTGCTTTCTGCACTTGAACATGAAGTCCTCCTCGAGACGGCCTGTTGTGTGCCTCCTGGTAACCAAGAAGCCCACAGTGTCATATGACCCCTGAGGCATGGACTGGAGCCCCAAAGGCAGCGCACACCCTGCTCCTGAGCCTGCTGCTCATTTCCTCTCTGTGGCTCCATTTGTAGCACAGTTGTTGCACTGAGGCTTGTGCATGCCGGGCAAGGCCAAGCTGGCTCAAAGAGCAACCAGTCACCTCTGCGAGGGTGTGCCAGGAGCCGCTGCACCAGCCACCAACCTCACTTGCTGCTGCACATGGCACATCAGTACTTCTACCCTAAAGGTAGGGCCACAGGGCCATCTGCTTTTCCTAAGGCCTCTGCTCCATCAGTTATCAGGAGGCAGCCACTCAGGCTGTAGGAAACTGGCCATCCCAGCTTCCTTGAGTAGCTGAGGTTGCTGGCTGGTCCACCTGGTCCTGGCACACCCTTGCAGAGGTGGCTGGTTGCTCTTTGAGCCAGCTTGGCCTTGCCTGGCATGCACAGGCCCCAGGTACTAACACGTTGCTCCGAGTGAGCTTCTCCTGCCTTGACACAAATTCAAAGTCTGGACAGGGCCACAGAAGGCCAAGTCCCCTGGGTGGTAATCCTGGCTGCTTTCTGCACTTGAACATAAAGTCCTCCTCAAGACGGCCTGTGGTCTGCCTCTTGGCAACCAAGAAGCCTGCAATGCCATACGAGCCCTGAGGCATGGACTGGAGCCCCAAAGACAGCGCACACCCTGCTGCTGAGCCTGCTGCTCATTTCCTCTTTGGCTCCGTTTGTAGCACAGTAGTTGCACTGAGGCTTGTGCATCCCGAGCAAGGCCAAGCTGGCTCAAAGAGCAACCAGCCACCTCTGCAAGGGTGTGCCAGGAGCAACCGGACCAGCCACCAACCTCACTTGCTGCCAAACATGGTACATCGGTTCTTCTACCCTAAAGGTAGGGCCAAGAGGCAGACCACAGGCCGTCTTGAGGAGGACTTTATGTTCAAGTGCAGAAAGCAGCCAAGATTGCCACCCAGGGGACTCGGCCTTCTGTGGTCTGCAGTGCCATACGAGCTCTGAGGCATGGACTGGTGACATCTGCTTTATAGAAAAATTAACAAGATCCATTAAACAGTTAAACGTGCCATCTGATTTTCCTCAGGCCTCTGCTCCATCAGCCCTCAGGTGGCAGCTACTCAGGCTCCTGTAACCTGGTCATCCCTGCTTCCTTCAGTGGGTGAGGTTGGTGGCTAGTCCAACTGGTCCAGGCGCACCCTTGCAGAGGTGGCTGGTTGCTCTTTGAGCCAGCTTGGCCTTCCCTGGCATGCACAGGCCCCAGGTACCAACACGCTGCTCCAAGTGAGCTTGCCCTGCCCTGACACAAATTCTAAGTCTGGCCACGGCCACAGAAGGCCAAGTCCCCTGGGTGGTAATCCTGGCTGTTTTCTGCACTTGAACATAAAGTCCTCCTCAAGATGGCCTGTGGTCTGCCTCTTGGCAAACAAGAAGCTCGCAGTGCCATACCATCCCTGAGGCACGGACTGGAGCGCCAAAGGCAGTGCACACCATGGTCTTGAGCCTGCTGCTCATTTCTTCTATGTGGCTCCATTTATAGCACAGTTATTCACTGATGCTTGTGCATGCCGGGCAAGGCCAAGCTGGCTCAAAGAGCAACCAGCCACATCTGTAAGGGTCCACTTGGAGCAGATGGACCAGCCACCAACCTCACCCACTCAAGGAAGTAGGGAATGCGTGTTTGTACCATGCATTTCACTACAAGTACATTCCCCTGAGGTTGGTGGCCTACATTTTCTTCTAGGTTTTTTGCTTTTAGGTCTTACGTTTAACTCTTTTATCCTTCTTAAGTTAATTTTTGTATAAAGTGTAAGGAAGTGGCCCAGTTTCAGTTTGCTGCATATGGCTAGCCAGTTTTCCTAACACCATTTATTAAATAGGCAATCCTTTCCCCAGTGCTTACCTTTGTCAGTTTTGTCAAAGATCTGGTGGTTTTACATGTGTGGTGTCATTTCTGTGGCCTCTGTTCCATTCCATTGGTCTATATACCTGGTTTGGTACCAGTACCATGCTGTTTCCGTTACTGTGGCCTTGTAGAATAGTTTGAAGTCAGGTACTGTGATGCCTCCAGCTTTGTTCTTTTTGCTTAGGATTGTCTTGGCTATGTAGACTCTTTTTTGGTTCCATATGAAATTTAAAGTAGTTTTTCTAATTTTGTGAAGAAAGTCAATGGTAGCTTGATGGGGATAGCACTGAATCTATAAATCACTTTGGGTGGTATGGCACTCAGGCACAGAAATGTCCTTGTGTTAGGCAATACCATTCAGGACATAGGCATGGGCAGAGACTTCATCACTACAACACCAAAAGCAATGGCAACAAAAGCCAAAATTGACAAATGGGACCTAATTAAGCTAAAGAGTGTTTGCAGAGCAAAAGAAACTATCATCAGAATGAACAGGCAACCCACAGAATGGGAGAAAATTTTTGCAATCTATCCATCTGACAAACAGCTAATATGCAGAATCTACAAAGAACTTAAACAAATTTACAAGAAAAAAAACAACCCCATCAAAAAATGGGCAAAACATATGAACAGACACTTCCCAAATAAGACATTTATGCAGCTAAAGAACATGTGAAGCAAACCACATCATCACTGGTCATTAGAGAAATGGAAATCAAAACCACAATGAGATACAATCTCACACCACTTAGAATGGCCAACATTAAAAGATAAGGAAACAACAGATGTTGGAGAGGACGTGGAGAAATAGGAACGCTTTTACACTCTTGGTGGTAGTATAATTAGTTCATCCATTGTGGAAGACAGTGTGACAATTCCTCAAGGATCTACAACTAGAAATACATTTAACCCAGCAATCCCATTACTGGGTATATACTGAAAAAATAATAAATCATTCTAATATAAAGACACATGCACACGTATGTTTACTGCGGCACAGTTCACAACAGCAAACACTTGGAACCAATCCAAATGCCCATCAATGATAGACTGGATAATGTGGCATATATACACTATGGAATGCTATGCACCCATAAAAAAGGATGAGTTCATGTCCTTTGCAGGGACATCGATGAAGCTGGAAATCATCACTCTCAGCAAACTAACACAAGAACAGAAAACCAAACACCTCATGTTCTCACTCGTAGGTGGGAACTGAACAATGAGAACACATGGACACAGAAGGGTAACATAACACACCGAGAACTGTTGTGGGGTGGGGGAGGAGGGAGGGATAGCATTAGGAGATATACCTAATGTTAAATGACGAGTTAATGGGTGCAGCACACCAACATGGCACATGTATACATATGTAACAAACCTGCACATTGTGCACATGTACCCTAAAACTTAAAGTATAATAATAAAATTTAAAAATTAAAAAAAAGTTTTAAAAAATTTCCAACTGGATTTTTTTTTGTTTTTTGTTTTTTGTGTTTTTTTTTTGTTTTGTTTTTGTTTTGCAGCCACAGGAGTTTTAGCCAATTCAGATGCCTTGCTCCCCACAATTTGGAACATTCCTTTGGATTTGACCAAGTCAGGAAGAGATGGGAGAAAAGTGAAACAACAATAAAACCCCAAACATAAACAAAAAGAGTTAAGCAAAACAAACAAATGCACAATTCATATGATTAACTGAGTGTTCTAATGGTAAGGAGGAATTAAAAGCAGCTGGTGGGTAATCTTAAATTTTAGTCATTAAACAAAAATTTTAAGACAAAACTCTAATTCAGCTACTTACCTGGAAATAAGGCTCAGACTGGGTGATCATTCTCTGCCATCTTAGAAGCTGGAAAAACTTACACTCACCTTCCCTGTCAGAAGCAAGCTGAAACTCAGGAAAGGAGGTGCCTGCTCTCCTTTGTCAATGGAAGCAGGAAAACTTGCCTTCCTTGTTGGAAATGAGTAAAACTTCAAAAAAGGAGTTGTACAGCAAAATCAACCTTACATCTCAACCAAATTTTCGGAGATCAGGGACTCTCTGAAGGGGAGAAGCTCCACAACCTCAGCAAATTATCCTATTCGTTTGGGCAATACAAATAGCCCAGGTTGGTATCAAGCAATAATGAGATTTATCAAAGGTCAGGACCACCTTTGTAATGTCCTTCTCTTTTTTTATCTTTATTGGTAGAGTCTGTTTTGTCAGAAACTGGGAGTGCAACACCTTTTTTCTGTTTTCCATTTGCTTGAAATATTTTTCTCCATTCCTTTATTTTGAGCCTATGTATGGCACTGCACGTGAGATGGGTTGCTTGAAGACGGCATACTCCAGTGGGTCTTGGTTCTTTACCCAGCTTGCCCCGTGTCTTTCAATGGGAGCATTTAGCCCATTTACATTTAAGGTTAGTAATGGTATGTGTGGATTTTATCCTGTCGTCATGCTGTCAGCTGGTTATTTTGCAGACTTACATATGTGCTTGCTTTTTAGCATCATTGGACTGTGTACTTCAGTGTGTTTTTGTAGTAGCAGGTGATGATCTTTTCTTTCCATATTTAGTGCTTCCTTCAGGAGCTCTCGTAAGGTAGATCTGGTGATACCAAATTCCCTCAGCATTTGCTTGTCTGAAAAGGATCTTATTTCTCCTTCACTTATGATGCTTAATTTTGCTGGACATGAAATTCTGGGCTGAAATTTCTTTTCTTCAATGGCAGTTGATGTGGGTTGGGGTGTGTGCTGCACTCCCGTGTGCTCTCAGGGCAAGTAAAGCAAAACCCACCCGTGTAAACACACACAGCAAAGTGATTTAGGAAGTTTCCAAATAAAGGGCTGCCGTATGGAGAGGCAATGTGCAGGCTGGTGCGTGGCTCTAGAGGCCACCTTGCTGCAGCTCTCCACTGATATGGTACAGTCCACTAGCATGGAAGCTATGGTGTGGGCATCTAAGAGTGCCCCGTAAGCAGGTGTGGCCAGGCTGGGGCCATGGGAGAGGCGAGCAGACTAAGGAGTGCTGAGATCAGACCAGCCCCATCTCAAGTGCAAGACTGCCCAGCCTCCAGAGATCAGGTCTCAGAGGAGAACTCTCTCAAAAGTGAACCCCCAGCACAGCACAGCTGCTCTACACAAACGTGGCTAGACTTCTTTTATTAAGCAAGTCTCCTTTTTTTAAAAAGGGAACTCTCGGACCTGATCTCTGCTGGGCAATCTTGCATATAAGATGTGGCTGGTATGACCTCAGCATTCCTAAAGTGCTGGGATAAAGTGTCTCACAAGGGCAAGTGGACCCTAGAGAGACAGCCATCCCTGACCTCTGGGCTCCACATCACCTGACTTGCTGCTCCACCACTTTGCTTGTTTCCTGGGTGCTCCATCCCAGAGACATGTGAGTTAGCAATCACTTAGTGTAATCAGCCCAGGATGGAGGGTCTGTGCTGTGGGCCCAAGCCAGGGTTCCCTGTCTGGTGATGAGTAGTGGAGGGTGTGTGGTACCCGTGGGAGATGGACTGGCTTGTTCTTTGGGTCAACTGCAGCTTATTGGAGGTGTTGATAGGGCACTTAGGGTCTTTGCACCCTTGCATCTTCTGAGGGTAGCAAGGGCAGTTCCACTGCAGAGGCAGTGGCAGAAAGGATTTCATTTGCTCCTGGAAGCTCTGTCCCAGGAACTGCAGAGTTGCTACTGGCTTGATAGCTCCAGTGGTGGGCTGGCTAGAGACCCAGGCCAGGAGGATCTGCCCATCAAGTAGAGAGCCCGGCCACTTTTCTGTAGGGCTGCTGTGGTATGCTGGGGGTCCCCTCCAGTCCCTAATTACCTTGTATTTTCCACGGAAGATGATAGTCTGCCCCTTCCTCTGGAAGCTCTGTACCACTGAGGTACGAACCTGTTGCCAATCTGAACACACCTATAAGATGTGGCTGGAGGCAAGTTGAGAAGTCTTACCTAGTCAGGACGAACGAGAACAGGGACTTGCTTCAAAAAAAAAAGTCTGGCCACGTTTTTATAGAGCAGCTGTGCTGTGCTGGGGGTTCACTTCAGCCCCTGGTCCGCCTCAGACACTCTGAAGCCCTAAGGCTGAAATGCCTGGGTCGCCCAAACAGCAAAGATGACAATCTGGTCCTCCCCCTGGGAGCTCTGACTCAGTGAGGCCTGAGACCTCTGTCGGCCAGAGAACAGCAGTCAAGGTAGCCAGAGACCCTGGTTGAAAGACTTCACCCGCTGACTAGAAATGTGATCAGGGACTGACGTAAACAAGAGTCTGGCCACGTTTTTGTAGCGTGGCTGTGCTGTGCTGAGGTACCTCTTCCACCCCTTGTCAGCTTGGGCTCTCCAAAGCCCGCAGGCCAGAATGGCTAGTCACCGAAAGAGCAAAGGTGGGGGCCTGCCCCTCTCCGGGAGCTCTGTCCCAGGAACATTTCACATTTCCATTGGCCAAGGAATGCTGGTGGGGGTAGCTGGAGGCCCCAGTTGGGAGGTCCTGTCCAGTGAGGTGGAACAGGATCAGGGGCCTGCTTACAGAAGCAGTCTGGCCATGATTTGGTAAAGCAGCTATGCTGTGCTGTGGGATCTCTTCTGTCCCTCCTCGGTTTGTACTCTCCAAAGCCCGCAGGCTGGAATGACTAAGTTGCCTGAACGGGAAAGATGGCGGCCTGCCCCGTCTTTTCTCTCAGAGTTTTATCTTGTTTCGTGGAGCTTAATTTTTAGCCTGTTGATTTTACTGTCTTCATTAGACTTGTTGAGAAAGAATCTGTTCTCTTTTAGGTGAGATAAATGAGAATTCATTGTCTTCTGTAAATAAACCTGTTCATGTCTTGTTCTCTGGAAAGAAGTCTCTTTCAGCTATCTGACTTTGGTCACAATCATGTAGAGCAGCAGCCAGTCTACAATGACGTAATTGAATTTCCATTTCCAGTGTTTCCTCGTTGTGTCTTACACTGTCCAGTTCAGAACTGAGCATTTTATTCTCAGTTGTCAACATGCTAAGCTGTCCACTGTACTGAAATACTGTGCTTCCTCAATTTGTTTTAAGGTGTGCACTTTTATCCATCTCTCCTCAAGTCAGAGTACAGGTAAGCCCTGGCTGCCTCCAGCCACTCTCAGGGAGACCAAAAGCCTTCATACACCCCAAGTTGGGGTACAAAAGAGGGGGGCCACGAAGGCTGATCATTCAAAATAAAACAAAATTAAAAAGTATTAAGGCGAAGATTCAAAAAATTTTGCATTATGTAATTTGCACAAAAGCAATGCTATCACCTCCCCTGTGTGAACTAGGGAGAGGACTGGGCCATTCTCCTTAGAGAGAAGTAGGGTGGCTTTTAGCAGGGCAAGGGGCTTCCTGAAACAATGCGTCTCACAATATTTGGAATGACTATTGAAAAGAAGAACAAGGTACAATCAAAGTCCTTGGCCACATTGTAGAACTTTGGAGGAAGCTTCCTCCAACCGACTGCTGTCACCTTCACCATTCCGGTTTTTAAATCCTGAGTCAAGCCAATAAAAAACAAAACAAAAAATGAAACAAGAAAACAAATAAAGCCATGCCAATCTCATGTTGTTTTCTGAGAAGTTTGGTTTTGTCAAGAAAGGGTGTAACGCAACTAAGTCAGAGTCCACCTACAAGCATTTGCGGTGGACAATGGAGGGGCCTGACTCATCATACTCCTGCTTGCTGATCCACATCTGCTGGAAGGTGGACAGCGAGGCCAGGATGGAGCCACCGACCCACACGGAGTACTTGCGCTTGGGAGGAGCAATGATCCTGATCTTCATCATGCTAGGCGCCAGGGCAGCGATCTCCTTCTGCATTCTGTGGGCCATGCCAGGGTACATGGTGGTGCCACCAGACAGCACTGTGTTGGTGTACAGGTCTTTGCGGATGTCCACATCAGACTTCATGATGGAGTTGAAGGTAGTTTCATGGATGTCACAGGATTCCATGCCCAGGAAGCAAGGCTGGAAGAGTGCCTCGGGGCAGCGGAACCGCTCGTTGCCGATGGTGATGACCTGGCCATCGGGCAGCTCGTAGCTCTTCTCTAGGGAGGAGCTGGAGGCCGCCGTGGCCATCTCCTGCTCGAAGTCCAGGGCAACATAGCACAGCTTCTCTTTGATGTCACGCACGATTTCCCGCTCGGCCATGGTGGTGAACCTATAGCCACGCTCGGTGAGGATCTTCATGAGGTAGTCAGGCAGTTCCCGCCCAGCCAGGTCTAGGCGCAGGGTGGCATGGGGGAGGGCATTCCCATCATAGATGGGCACAGTGTGGGTGACCCCGTCACCAGAGTCCATCACGATGCCAGTAGTACGGCCAGAGGTGTACAGGGACAGCACGGCCTGGATGGCCACGTACATGGCTGGGGTGTTGAAGGTCTCAAACATGATCTGGGTCATCTTCTCGCGGTTGGCCTTAGGGTTCAGGGTGGCCTCGGTCAGCAGGACGGGGTGCTCCTCGGGAGCCACACGCAGCTCGTTGTAGAAGGTGTGGTGCCAGATCTTCTCCATGTCATCCCAGTTGGTGATGATGCCGTGTTCCATGGGGTACTTCAGGGTCAGGATGCCTCTTTTGCTCTGGGCCTCCTTGCCCACATAGGACTCTTTCTGATGCATGCCCCCCATCATGCCCTGCTGCCTGGGGCGCCCCACGATGGAAGGGAAGACAGCCCGGGGGGCATCGTCGCCCGCAAAGCCGGCCTTGCACATGCCAGAGCCGTTGTCAATGACGAGCACGGCGGTATCATCATCCATGGTGAGCTCATTCAATTGTAGAGCCTTTAAAAGATTATCATTCCTTTTTTTCACACTTTCAATATCCTCCAAATATTTCTTTTCTCTTAGCTGGCTCTGATGTTTCATTGTGTCTAGCTCCAGTCTTAGCATGGCAATTTCTTCCCGCAACGTACTATTTTCATGCAAGATGTCTTTTTCTTTCTTACAACTAAGAGAAAGCTAAGTAAACAAAGAGAACTTTTAGTTAGCACTCAATAGATTGACATATCATGATTTCTTCTGAAATTCAAAAATAACATGTATTTGTATAATGAAAGAATCCCCATAGTGGATATTTAACTGGAAAAAAATTGGACAAAACTTCAAACCTAATAAGAGTGTAAATTCCTCCAGTGATTTATTTTTCATCGTCTTTAAATAAATATTTAAACTTTTAGGAATCTGCTCCTAAATTCCTAAAAGTTTAAATGTTTATTTAAAGACGATGAAAAATAAATCACTAGAGGATTTTTAAGAATCCCAGAATTAAAAAAAGCCTTTTTTCTGAGTTACAAAAAACCCAGAGGCATAAAATATAAGATTAATAATTTGACTACATTTTTAAGATTAGGTTTACACTCTGATATCTAACCTATCAACCACACCATCCTAAGAGCCTTAGCTATGCATATATTTGGACAGAAGCAATTTCTCAAAGTTCTTTAAGTTTCTTTTACTGAAGAACGTTTTACCGATATTCTACATTTCTAATATTTCTATACTCAGTTATAAGAATTACATTTATTTATAACTGTCAAATCTAAGCACTGTACCCTTCTACACTGTACACATCTGTATCTAGGCATTGCTCTTCTACATATAATACTGAACTCATTTAAGATCGCGATTCTTAAAAGGAGAGGTCAAAAAATATACACAGATGCAGGATTTTCCCCAGGTCTGCTGATGCTACTTCTAGTGATCCTCCACAAAACCACACTTACTTCTGTGGTGCAAATATATAAATACAAAAGAAACCTTTTGTTTCAAAATATGAATGGTAAATAAGATACAACTTATAGAGATTTTCTTAGAAATCATGAGATTATTTGCCATTGCGGTAACTTTTATTTCCTCTTTATAATGTTTGAAACAGTAGTAATGGTGAAATAGGGGAAATATACTGAACTATTTCTCCAGAAAGAAAATACTTATCAATAAATTATTACTAAATGTGTATCATGGCATGTCATTGTTTTCAAACCTCTTTACATTGAAATGAGAAACTACTTGGAGCAAACTGTTCCTCTCTGCAAAAGTAAGGATAATGGTATCCACAATGTGGCCTCTGACCCAGCTATACATTTCCTACTTTCTTATCAGTAAAAATAATCAATTGACTTCTCTATTAACATTTTTTAAAAAACTAATGTCCAAAAACGAGAAAATCTGTTTTCAGTAGCAAAACTTATTTCTGATGTGGAAAGATCATCAATTCTTATGAAAAATATCAAATACTTCTCCTTTGGATTGAGGCCATTGTGCAGGTCACTACTCAACTGTTGCAGGCAAATGAAGGTGAATTAAGAACATGGCTTTATCCTATACGTACGTATATAGATATATGACAAAGGATATATAGAATATATACACACATATATATGACTTAAAAATCCTTTATATTTCCAAAATACAGTTCTTTAAAATATACACACATATAAAAACATTTGAAAATAACTAAAGAAAATACCTCAGAATTCATTTTTTCAACCACTTCTATCTGCTTTTCTTCATGAATCAGAATCTCATCGTGTAATATTCCAGTGTTCTGTTCTTCACAAAATTGCTTCTGAGTATCATTTTGTTCGTCACTAGAAGAAATTTTAATTTTCATGAAATACTGGAGCTGTCCCTAAAATGATGTACAGGGCAAGATGGCGCCATCAGATGTCATTCACACAATGCATATCTGCACATTATTCCAAGACAAGGCAAAGGGGTCTCACATCTGTTAACCAGGTGTCCCCAACCATGCTGGCACCAGGGACTGCTTTTGTGGAAGATAATTTTTCCAGGAACCTGAGGTGGGGGATGGTTCCAGGATGATTCAAGTATATTACATTCATTGTGCACTTTATTTCTATTATTATTGATATATAATGAAATAATTATATCTCACCAAAATGTAGAATCAGTGGGAGCCCTGAGCTTGTTTTCCTGCAACTAGATGGTCCCATTTGGGGGTGACGGAAGATGGTGACAGATCAGAAAGGCATTCGATTCTCATAAGGAGTGAACAACCTATATCCCCCTGCATGAGCAACTTACAACAGGGTTCAGGTCACACTCAGGACAATCTAATGCCACCGCTGATCTGACAGGAGGAGGAGCTCGGGCGGTAATGCGAGCGACAGAGAGTGGCTGTAAACAGATGGAGCTTCACTTGCTCACCTGCCTCGAACCTCCTGCTGTGTGGCCCAGGTCCTAACAGGCCAGGGATTGCTAATGGTCTGTGTCCTGTAACCCATACTCTTTATGTTTATTGTTTGGAAACACTTTCTACTTATATTCTTGATTCCTATGTATTTTATGAACAACTTAGAAATTCCTTTTAGAACAAGACAGGGTATAATATGTTTTTAACATAGGACTTTGAAATAATTTTATCTGTGTATGAGAGAGAGATGTGAAATAAACTCATCGTTAAGCACTTTCCATTTTACTTTTATTTCATGCATATTAAAAATAAAACTGGGAAGTCCTAGGCAGAGCAATTGGGCAAGAGAAATAAAGGGCATCCAAATTGGAAAAGAGGAAGTCAAACTATCTCTTCACCAATGATATTATCCTATACCTAGAAAACCCTAAAGACTCCTACAAAACACTCCTAGATTTGATACATAAATTCAGTAAAGTCTCAGAGGTTACAAAATAAATGAATACCAATCAGTAGCACCACTATACACCAACTACAACCAAGCTGAGAGTTCATATCAACAATCCAATCCCTTTTACAGTGGCTGCAAAAAAGTGTGAAGCACCTAGGAATATACTTAATGAAAAAAGTGAGTGATCTATATAAAGATAACTGGAAAACACCACCAAAGAAAATAACAGATGACACAAACAAATGAAAATACATCCTATGTTCATGGACTGAAAGAACTGATACAGTGAAAATGACCATAGTGCCCAAAGCAGTCTACACATTCTATACAATACCTACCAAAGTACCAATGTCATTCTTCACAGAATTATTTTAAAATGCTGACATTCATGTAGAACCACAAAAGAGCCTGAACAGCAACAGACATACCAAGCAAAAGGAACAAATATGTTGGCATCACATTACCTGACTTCAAATGATACTCTAAGACCACAGTAACAGAAGCAGCGTGGTACTCGTATAAAAACAGATACATAGATCAATGGAACAGAACAGACAACTCAGAAATAAAGCCACTACAACCAAGTGATCTCTGAGCAAGGATACAAAAACATACACTGGAGAAAGTACAGGTTATTCAATAAATGGTGCTGGGAAAAAAAGATAGCCACATGTGGAAGAATGAAACTGGATCTCTATCTCTCACCATATACAAAAATTAATTCAAGATGGATGAAAGGCCTAAACCTAAGACCTGAAAACATTGGCCTAGGCAAAGGATTTATGAGGAAGACCCTAAAAGCAAATCCAACAAAAATGAAAATAAATAAATAAGACCTAATTAAACTAAAAAGCTTCAGCACAGCAAAAGAAATAATCATCAAACAACAACTTACACAATGGGAAAATTTTGAAAATTATGACGCTAACAAACGACTAATATCTATAACCTACAAGAAACTCAAACAAATCAACAGGAAAAACGCAAATAATTCCATTGGAAAGTGGCCAAATTACATGAATAGACATTTCTCAAAAGAAGAGGTACAAACGGTAAACAAGCATATAAAAACATGCTAAATATCTCTAATCATCAGGGAAATGTACAATAAAACCACAGTGAGATATCACCTCACTGCAGCCAGAATGGCCACTATTAGAAATCAAAAAACAACAGATGTTGGTGTGGACGCGGTGAAAAGACAACAGTGATACACTGCTGGTGGGAATGCAACTTCATACAAATCTATGGAAAACAGTATGGAGAGTTCTCAAAGAACTAAAAGTAGATCCTACCATTTTATCCAACATTCTCATTTCCAGATATCTACACAAAATAAAAGAAATCGTACTCTCAAAAGGACACCCGCACACATATGTTTACTGCAGCACAATTCACAATATGCAAAGATATGGAATCAACCAGTGTCCATCAACTGATGAGTGGAATAAAGAAAATGGACGTATATACATATATATATCTCACATCACATATATGTATCATATATATGTATGTGTGTATATACACTCACACATATACATATGTACATAGCTGAGACTGGGTAATTCACACACATACATACCTGAGACTAGGTAATTCATAAAGGAAAGAGGATTAATTGATTCACAGTTACGCATGGCTGGGGAGGCCTCAGGAAACTTAACAACCATGGTAGAAGGGGAAGGGGAAGCAGGCACCTTCTTCATAAGGCGGCGGGAGAGAGAGAAGAGAGAAGTGAAGCGCAAAGAGCCCCTTATGAAACCGTCAGCTCTTGTGAGAACTCACTCACTATCACAAGAACAGCATGGAGGAAACCGACCCCATGAGCCAATCACCTCCCAGCTGGTCTTTCCTCAACACCTGGTAATTACAATTTGACATGAGATTTGCATAGAAACACAAAGCCAAACTATTGGGGGGGGGGTATCCTTATTTTTAAAATATCTAAATGTCATTATTTATAATTCAAAATAGCAATTTTTATTACTTATGATTTTGTTTGAAAACAAAATGATCTCGTAAATTTTCTTCACTTTTAACCTATTCAGTCAAAATATAGAAAAAGCTAGATTTGCCAGCAGAAAATTGTTAACAACTTTTTAATGAGATAAAAATGTATAACAATATCACTATTATTGTACAGAGAAAAAAGTGAACAAGAAAAGGAATTTAAAAACACAGAATATGACTATCACATACATACATGAACTGACAAAGAGACTAAAATCTCCTACTGGAGATTATGTTAGGACTTGAGCAAAAGCTTCTTAAAATACCAAAAACAAAAACAAAACACTTATTTTTAAGAAATAAATTATACAGAGAACACTTCTGGTTAAGATGATGTATCAAAAAAAAAAAATCTTCGTGAGAGCTATTATTAACCAAGTCATCATAACCAAAACTTTAAATCCACAATTCTGGAATATTAAAAAGTTTCTTTTTGAACATAGTTAATGGAAGGCAACTTTTGAACAGAAAATTTCTGGTTAAAGTTGACTCAAACTTAGGAAAGAATTGACCTGTAGCCATGGTAACAAGAAGCCAGCCAGAGCCAGTTCAAAATCTAGTCAATCGATCAATGACCGACCACTGGCTGTGCTCACCAACCAATATCAGTGTGAGCAGCTTGCTTCTGAAAGACAGCCAAGCAGCAACAGCTGCTCCATCAGAATAGACAGTGCCTGACCAGTATAGTCTTACTATCGGAAGCAAAAAATTCCAACTGTCTTTTTATTTCAAATACCAAAGGTCCATAATCCCTTGGAAAGAATTTGTGAGTCCATTACATTTACCACCCTAAAAAAACTAAAATACTAGTGGCCGGATGTGGTGGCTTACACCTGTAATCCACCCAGGTGGGTGGACTGCCTGAGGTCAGGAGTTCAAGACCAGCCTGACAAACAGGATGAAACCCCATCTCTACTAAAAATACAAAAATTAGCCGGGTGTCATGGCACGCACCTGTAATCCCAGCTCCTCAGGGGGCTGAGGTAGGAGAATCGCTTGAACCCAGGAGGCAGAGGTTGCAGTGAGCCGAGGTCACACCACTGCACTGCAGCCTGGGTGACAGAGCGAGACTCTGTCTCTAAATAAATAAAATACCAGTAAAGTTTGTAATTTCTCTAACTCATTTTACCATAATTGCAATTATCATGATTACCAGTAAAAGAATAGTGAATAACCACAATATTGGGCTTTTCTCCCTAAGTGAAAAAATATTAATATAAAGAATGTAGCTTATTATAAAAAGCCGAAAGAATTTTTAAAATACATATAATTACCAGGCAAAATTGTTAAAATGAACCTTGTCAAACATTTTTTAAGTGAGAATCAATCAAACAATATACCCGGGATAAACTCCATTCATTCTTTTAATACCTATTTATTAGGTAGCTACGTCTGATAGGCTAGGCCTCTTTCTAGGAAGTGAGGATATGGTAATGAACAATAAAAACCCTATTCATGAGAGTGAGATAAACACACAATAACAACAGACAGATACGGCAAAATACACAGTACGTTAGAGGAGAAAAACTAAAGCAGGAAAATGAAATCTTTATGTGTTTGATGGGAAGGGTGGTGGGAAAGTTGGGATGGCCAGAAAAATCCCTGCTGAGAAAGAGGATTTTTCTTTAATACAAAGAAACTTTTATTTGTACATCAAAGACTCTAAAAAATGATGATGTTAACAGAGTTGATGTCAAGACACAAACAGGTTTGAAGTTAAAGATGATAAATCACTTTGTTTCATTGAACCTTCCCTCAATTACGTTAGAGAGCATCCCTGGTATGTTCCCAATTGAATCTCAAGCCTGACGCGTCCTGATGATACAATCCTAATTCCTTTCTGTTAGTCCTCATTATCTCTCTTTTTTTTCATTTTCTTCATTTTCTCTGGATTAGGAATCGTGCTGGTACATGGTTCTTCCTCAGGAAGTGGTTATTCCTTAATGGGTTTCTTTTTACCCTTTTTCTTCTTCTTAGAAAGGGGATTTTAAGTAAAGAGCTGAAGTAATGGAAACAGTAAGCTAGAAGAATATCTGGGGAAAAAGCATTCCAGACACAGGGAACTGCTAAGTGCAGAGGTGTGCCTGGAGTCTTTAAGCACTAGGGATAGGTCAGGAATAGCAACAAGTTCAGTGTGGCTGAAACACAGCAATAGAGATAAGAAACAGAAGTTTCAGCAGGAGAGGTAACATGCCAGATGGTTTACTGCCTTTCAGTTATTAGGAGGAACTCTGCCACATACTCAGAGTGAAATAGGAGGCAATCAGAAGGGCTGGGGCAGAGGAATGACAACATTTGACTTATGTTTTAAATACATCCACTGAGATAAGAATTGATGAAAGGGGAAGTTTTTAAAAACCAGGACTATCAATTCCCGTCTATGACACTCATCTAAACTGCAGATGACGGTGGCTCAGATGTACAAGATAGACTGGCCTCTGGATATATTCTTCAGATAGACCTGACAAGATTTACTGAGAGATAGATGTGAAGTGTCAGGACAGAGAGAAAGATCAGTCAAGAAGATCTTGACTGAGAGAGAAAGATCAGACACTGAGGTTTTTGGCAGAGCAACTGGAAGAGTTGCTGTTAACCAAAGTAGGAAAGACTACATGAGGTGTAGATTTCAGGAAGGACATCAGTAGCCCAATTTTGGATCTGACAAGTGTGTGATACCCAACAGCTAATCAAATAGAGATGTCAAGTAGGTGGGATGATATAGAGATCTGGAATTAAGGAAAGAGATCTAAGTTGGAGACATACATTTGGAAATCACTAGCATATACACAGTAGAAAAAGTCACGAGGGGCCAGGCACGGTGGCTCACGCCTGTAATCCCAACATGTCATGAGGCCAAGGCGGGCAGATCACCTGATGTCAGGAGTTTGAGACCAGCCTGGCCAACATGGGGAAACCTGTCTCTACTAAAAATACAAAAATTAGCCAGGCGTGGTGTTGCACACCTGTAATCCCAGCTACTCAGGAGGCTGAGGCAGGAGAAGTGCTGGAACTCATGAGGCAGAGGTTGCAATGAGCCAAGATCATGCCACTGAACTCCAGCCTGGGGGACAAAGTGAGACTCTGTCTTAAAAAAAAAAAAATTATGAGAAAGAAGATTGAGGACTGAGCCATGAGAAACAACAATGTCCAAAAGGAGAAAGATGAGGAGCAGCAAGCAAAACAGACCATGATAAACGGACTAGAAAGGCAGGAGGAAAAGCCTGAGGGAGTGAGGTCCTGAAAGCCAAGTGAAGACGCCATTAGGGAGGAGATGCCCTCCATTGGCTCAAATATTGCTGACAGATTAAATGAGGTGTAAGAAAAATGCCTAGATTTAGTACAGAAAAAAATTAGTGATAATCTTGAGGAAAAATAGTTCTGGAGGAGTGCTGAAATTGAAGACTTACCGGCATTGAGATCAAGAGTGAATGGAAAGAAAATTTGAGTTCATGAGTGTAGACAGTTCTTTAAGGACAATATACTTAACGCTCATGACTGAGAATGATGTAATTTTCATCCACAGTCATGGAAAAGTGATAGACAAGAAATAGTAGCTTCCAAATTTTACATACCAGGTGGAGTTTTCAAATTTTATGTAACCATTATATATTCTAAAGGTTATAAAAATTATACACATATGGCATTTAGAAATGTCAGACCAAGGTTTTAAAGGCCCTTTGAACATTTCTAGATTACATAAGCTGATTATCATTTTGTTCATGCTTATACATAAAGACCAAGAAATACTAAAACTCTCAAGGAGAATATTTCTTGCTTGATAAAAATCAGCCAATTCTAGGACAGTTGACACTCATCAAATATACGAAGTAATTGATCACAGTAAAATACTGAGTTCTATTAACAGGAATAAAGTGGGAGAAATGCAGAAAATAATCTTATTTTATAAATGTAGTTTTCAAAATCATATGAAGTCACTGGAAAAATATGGTGAGGTGAATACTGAAATATATCCTTTTCTCAAAGGGAGGATAATGTCACACATGCAGGGCACTTTTACAAATAAAAGTCACTGCATTAGCAGCACCTTCCTTTTAGCACAAGGGTCAGCAAATAAGCACCTGTGGGCCAAATCCAGCCCACTGCCCGTTTTTGTAAGTCAAGTATCTTGGAACACAGCCATGCTTATTCACTTTACAGTCCATAGTGTCAGTTAGCTGGGTGTGATGTTGCACACCCGTGGTCTCAGCTAGTAGAGACTGAGGTCAGAGGATCACTAGAGCCCAGAAAGTCGAGGCTGCAGTCAGCCATGATCACACAACTGCACTCCAGCCTGGGAAACAGAGTGAGACCCTGTCTCAAGAAAATCAATATATGTAGTCCACAAAGCCTAAAATATTTACTAACTAGCTCTTTGCAGAAAAAGCTGGCCAACTCCTGGTTTAGTAGATCAAAGATTCTTTGATGTATTTTAATAAAAGTTTTACCAAATATACTGAAATGTTTATATTAAATATAGATCCCCATGTACAATCCCTTGGCAATATTCAGATTGAGGGTCCAATATTTCAGCACTCAGGCACTGACAACAAAAATTTAGTAACTAGCAATCTTGTTGCTAACAAGGTACAGTGTCAATGTAGCATGTAGCTTCCATTTGCAACACAGCAGATATTACAAGAATTTTAACAAGAACTCTTAAGATGTGTCATCAAACTAAACGCTTTAAATACATTTTAATTGTGAAATAATCAGTATACCCTACATCTAACCTCATTTTTTAAAAATGGTTGCATAATACATTATTTTGGGGATATGGAAATTGAGCTATTTCCTATTGATAAGGAATTAGACTAGCTCCAAATTTTTTACATAATACTATAATAAATGTCCTTATACATAAGTATACATATAACATATCTATACAAATATCCTTTACATGTATTATATAGGCTTACTGTTATATATGTGTGTGTGAATATGCTACTCAATTAATGTTCAAAATGTATTTACCAACAGTATATGAAATGTCTTTTTCAATGAAACCATTTCCCCTGCAGCAACACGGATGGAGCTGGAGGCCATTATCCTAAGAAAACTCATGCAGGAACAGAAAATCAAATGCCACATATTCTTACTCATTAGTGGGAACTAAACATGAGAACTCATGGACACAAAGAGGAGAATAACATACACTGGGGCCTACTTGAGGGAGGAGCATGGCAGGAGGGAGACGACCAAAAAACTACCTTTCGAGTATTTTGTTTATTATGTGGCTGGTGAAATAATCTGTACCCCAAGCCTCCATGATACAGTTTACCTATATAATAAACCTGCACACGTACCCCGAAGCTAAAATAAAAGTTCACTGAAAAGAGAAGAAAATGCCTTTTCCCTCACATTTGCCAATACTGGTTATTTTTCAAATAAATTAATGACTGGAAAAAAAACGGTAACTGATTGTTTGCTGATTTTCATTTTTCTGATTAACAGGCAAGGCTCAATATCCTAATAAAAGTATAAAATTTGTTCATCATGAATATTAGCTCAAATTAGGATTAGTTTGACAGCACAAAGTTACCTCCTGTTCAATGTTGCCATAGGCTTACCTGTGATACTCTTCATTCTCAGTGTCAGGAAATTGCTGGCTTTCAGGTGTTCTGCTCTTCCTTGGAGGAATTAATCCATCATCACCATTGCCAGCAGTGGCACCATTAGTCAGGTTTTCTGGGAATCCGACATGAGTACTTCCGTGCTTCTTCATTTCTTCGATAGCCATAAAATTTTCTAGCTGGAAAATACAGAGAATAAGAAATTATCTACTTTAGGCACATTATCTATTGATAATCAGACTAAAACCAAGAAAGATAAAATAATTGGTCTAAAGCTCCTAAAGTGGCATTACCTAGCATTTTATGGCACCATTCGGGATTATTCCATAATAATGAAAGAATAGCTCTAGGGTTTGCACCTCTTCAAAATTCAATGTACAGAATTCTGAGTTAACTATTTAATTTTTCACTGATGATTTATGCTACTTACATGATAGGATCATGTATGCCTACATTTACTACACTTTGTTAAACAACATAATGTAAAAATCTAATTCAACACAAACGTTTGAATATAAAGGTATACCTCTCTATCACCATCCTTATTTATTTCTGGTTCTTGAGATCTTTTCTGCAGATGTAAAAACAGAAGGTTAATTTGCTTGTTGTATTTCTGTGACATTTCCTCTTTTGGAGTGCATGTTTTTAAAATAATTTTATTCTGAAGTAATCAAGTATGGACAATAAAAATTAGAAAGTAATTAAAATTAAACTGTTAAAATAAATAATAATTAAAATTAAGAATTAACTTTTTAATCTATGTTTAGCTACTGCCACATCACTGGCTTCTAACATGTGAAAAATAATTCACCTTAGACAAAGGGAGAAGAAAAACATGAACCAGCAAACTTAACTTTCTCACTATTTGTTTGGACTAAATTTAATTTGTTATGTGTTAAATCTACCAAAAATGAATCAGCAGATGATTTGTAGTGTTCCAAAATCTTCCTCACTTGAAAAGAGTTTACCTCATGAAACCCTAACTAGTGAGCACCTACAGTGCACTGAAGTGCTTTTTTAAAAGATTCCTAACTGGATTGTAGGCACCCTTTAAACTATTAGGAGCCGAAATCAACACCAAACAGAAAGAAATGCAAATTCTCACATTTTAATTGAAATTATATACTGTCATATGATAGTGTTATGTATCCAGATTATCTGCGTAAGTCCAGTTCTAATATATTCTAATGTGTACTAATGACAGCAGATAAAATTTTTTAATCTCTACTGATTTTCTGCAACTGAAATAAATTAGAATGTTATTGTGTTTGTGCACTAACACCAAAGGTCCCATTCTGCAAGATATGGTTCTTGTAATAGGCAGTTGGGTTGCTTTTATGACCTGGTTCCCTCCCTGAACAGAAACACTGAGGTCAACGAGAGACCACAAGGCAGGATATGTCCTTAACCTTGGTATCAGTGACTGACAATATAAAACTGTGGATTTTCAATCACAGGCCATGATTACTCTTTAACCATGAATCCAGCTCAGGGAATCAGTGTTACATTGTTCATAATTCCTATTGCTTAATAATATGATTCAATCATTGATGTTACTTTCTTTATCATGTTAGGGTGTTGTAAAAATAAAAGAACAAACAAAGTTCTGAAATTTGTTTTTGCCTCTATTCCAAAAGGAGAGATTAGCTATAAGCTAATCAAGAAGGCAGATAAGAATATTTTTAAATAAGAGTATTTTAAATTTTATAGTGGGTTATGTTGAAGTTAAATATCAAATATTAAATTAGAATCTATTGATTCTTCTGTTAATAAGGTTGCTGATTTTATTACAATAAATTTTAAGAATCTATTAAATTTTTTTTTTTTTTTTTTTCACATGGAGTCTCGCTCTGTCACCCAGGCTGGAGTGTAGTGGTGGATGTCGGCTCACTTTAAGCTCCCTCTCCTGGGTTCATGCCATTCTCCTGCCTCAGCCTCCCGAGTAGCTGGGACTACAGGCACCCACCACCACGCCCAGCTAAGTTTTTGTATTTTTACTAGAGACGGGGTTTCACCATGTTAGCCAGGATGGTCTCGATCTCCAGACCTCGTGATCCACCTGCCTCAGCCTCTCAAAGTGCTGGGATTACAGGCGTGAGCCACCTTGCCTGGCCAAAAGATTCTTAAAAAAACAATCTACTGATTCTCAAAGCCTAGTCTGAAAGGTAATTTCATTTGGACTATCTAATATTATTAAGGCAAAAAAAACACAACATTAAACAAAAGTTTAAATTTAAAAGTTTCCATGCCTCTGGCTGGCCATTTTCACTGCCTTCAAGCCTTTGTGACTCTTCCTCTGATGTCAGCTTTAAGTCTTGTTCTGTTGAAAAATCCATACATTCAGTTAAAATCAACCACTTAAAACAGTTAAAAACTATTGCCTTTTAAAAACAGATTTGAGACATTTCATTTTATTTCATAAATTGAGTGTTTCATCTTTTGTGAAATTGTCATTTAAGAAATAATTCTCAAAAACTTCAAAAACCCACTTGGGGAGATAGCAGATGTCACCAGATTGAAGACAAACAAACATGTCAAAAATTCCCTCACAAATTCATCCACCCAACATCCATGAACAAAACCACCAGAAACACAGCTTTAAAATACAGTAGAAACATATAAGGTGACACAGTGTACTGTTCTCCACTTCCTAATAGTACCTTATAAATGATTTCCAAAATCACTGCTGACACCTTTATTAGTGTACAACATCTTCCTAATAATATCTAAAATGTTTCTCTCCACTATTCTGACAAATTTATTTTCTTTTTTTCTTTTTTCTTTTTTTTTTTTTATGAGTTAGGGTCTTCCTCTGTCACCAGGCTGGAATGCAGTGGTGTGATCAGCTCACTGCAACCTCCGCCACCCTGGTTCAAGTGATTCTCCTGCTTCAGTCTCCTGAGTAACTGTGATTACAGGCAAGCACCACCACACCCAGCTGATTTTTGTATTTTTAGTAGAGATGGGGTTTCACCATTGGACAGGATGGTCTCGATCTCCTGACCTCGTGATTCCCTCTGAAAGTGCTGGGATTACAGGTGTGAGCCACCACACCTGGCCTTATTTTCATCTTTTGAAACAATGCTATATGAAGTCTTCCTTGATTCTGCATGTCTTTCCCCAAATAAACAGGTACCTCCTTCCTTGAGGCTGCCTTAGTACTTTACTGATTTTTCTACTGCATCTTGACCACCTAAACTGTACATTATTCCTCCACATGTCTGTCCCCTCTGCTCCAAGACTGTAGGGGAGAGTCTTGCACATCATCTTTGTAAAAACAGTCTTTGTTTTACTCAGAAATATTTTATTGAGTCCTGCTAAATACATGCTAGGCATTAGGGTTTAAAAACAATTAAAATAAAGCATGTCAGAGATGGCTTTTCTAGAACACATGCCCAAGCAGAGACTTAAATATTGAGACTAGCCAGATTAAAAGGTGTAGAGGGCAGGAAAGGGTGACAGCATGCCACGCAGCAGCAAGAGCGGGAGCGATGCCTGAAAGAGTGAAAGTATTTGCCTACAATAGAAGGATGAGTGAGTAGGGCATTGCCAGCAGTTCAGTAATGCCAGAGACAGGGCACACAGGGAAAAGGGCTAAAGATGGAGAGTGGGGCAGAAGTCAGATTATGAAAGCCTTATGTGTAATTTTAAGATGCTTGAACATTAATGTTCAAAAGTGGTCCCGGGTCCTATCTGCATTTAGATATAGATCATTTCAATGCCAAAACCAATATTGCTAGTGAACAATTATTCATTAAGACAAGGTGACAGATAGCTCATGTGGACACAGCTGAGATGATACAATGTAGCAAATTCTAAACAATTCTCATGAACACTTGGAAAGTCAGTTCTATAATAAAGTCATACAAATTATAATAAATCAGTAAATATTTGGTTTGGGAAGATGCTTTGTAAAGTTATAGTGCATATGAATACAATTAACAGTCGTGAATTCAGAGCTGTGAAAATAAATCAAAGAAACCACATTGTGTTTGAGTCAGCAATCTTTAGATTTCTATCCAGTCTTCCCATCCAGTCCATAAATTCTAAGTATAATCCTGGTACTCACTCTCAAGTTTACGTTAAATACTATCCCATTACAAAAAAACACTCTTTCTCTTACTTCTTTTCATTATGTCCTGCTAAAAAGATTCTGATTGGCTGCAGGCGGCAAGAGGGAAAAACACAAAGCACATTTTGCAGAAAATGATTATTTAGAAGTCAGAACTATGACATGAAGCCAAGCAGGGCACTCTAGGACCGAATTTGCTGTGCTGCCTTCATACGCTCCTTGCTCTTTCTTTTCTGGCAGCTGTGACTCACACAGGTCATGGAGAGTATCATTCCCTAAGAGGAACAACTCCGATATTCATCTTTATCTATTAAGTTCATCTGTCCCAATTCTGTGTTCTGTGGATGCTGACTTTCTGTCACGGACGATGATGCACATGGACATTTATTACTGACTTTCAGATTCTTGGATCTTTGACAAGTCTTATTACTTAGAGTCAAACTAGTAGGATGCGAGTTATAAATGCTGATTATCCAATTACCTACTCAAAATACCCTACACGAATATTCCATTAAACATGCATCGAAAAACATTAGTCATTCCTGCTGACCTGCTGCTCTTTGCTCTTCTGTATTCACCAGAAAATTTCCTACTCCTTCCTCATGTCTAGGTTAAATACTAGTGTACAATCTGGAAACCTGTACATCATCTGAGATTTCTCTCTGTCCCCCAAGCCTTTCTCATTCAATTATCACTAAATCATATTGACTATACCTCTCTTCTGCCTCTGTTTTATATTCCCACTGCCACTGGGAACACAAACATTTACAAAATGACTTCTATTTAAAAGAAAACTGCCAACTATTAATGTTATTTCTTACAGGAAAAAAAATTAAGCAAAACAAGTGAAAAAGGCATAACGAAGGCCAACATAGTAAAATGAGTAACTGAGATTTCTAACGTTATTTATTTCACCATGGACGGGTGAAAACCTTATAATACATTGATGCTACTCCAAGGATGTGTGACATGGAAACTATAGCTGACTACTGCAAAAGCTTCCTTTGTCTCCTGGTTTCTTTGCATGATTATCTCCCATCAATCCCAGGAAACTATAGGCCACAGGCCAAATCCAATCTGCATTATGGTTTCGTAAATAAAGTTTTATAGGAGCTCAGTCATGCCTGTTTGCTTACATATAATCATGGTGGCTTTCACACTACAACAGCAGACAACAGCACGGTTAAGTAGATATGACAGAGACCACATAGTCCAAAATATTTCCCACCTGGTCCTTTAAAGAAAAAGCTTGCTAACCCATTTTACACCATAACCAGAATGCCTTAATACTCAAATTTAATCTTGTGACTCCCCTGCTCAAATTTCTCCAATGAGCCCCCTCCAGCACACATTGTTGGCTCCCTATCAATAGCCATTCCTCATTCTTTCTGGCAGAAAAAATGTAAGTCTATTGGGCTATTTAATATCCCAATCCCCCTCCTCAGCCTCAGAAAGAAATGTTTATTCTAAGCTAATCAGGTATTTACCTTCCCAGTGCCTGGTTTGGGAATGAGCATGTGGCATGACCCAGCCAATGAAATGTTACAGGAAGCCCCTTGCATGCTTCTAAGTTTTCTCCCTGTTTAAAAGACACATGTGAAGAAAAGCAGCCCTTGCGATGTTGTGTTGTGAGAACAAGATGTTTGGAGCTGCTGCAGATTAGCCAACCACAAAAGGAGACGTGAATAAAACACTGTCAACAGCACAGCTGAAAGAGGGACAAGTGGGATCCCTAGGATATCAATGAACAAAAAAACAACTCTGGTTCCTAGTGTTTTAGGCACTGCTCATATAGTATTTGCAGTCCAAAGCATTCTACCTGGTAAATTTCCCATGGCCCACAGGAAAAGACCTACTCATTTCTATAGTATTAAAAAGTCTATCGTAAACTTGCCTTAGCTAAGTATTCACCTCACTCCCAACCTCTGGTATCTCACGCTTTTGGTACTAGCAAAAGTGAACTGCTCAGAAACCCTGCCATGTTCACTCAAGCATCTTGTCTTCTGCACTTGCTGCTCTTCCTCCCAAACGGGCAATCTCATTAGATGTTCCTTCTGGCAAACACACTATCTCACTCCATGTTCCTTCTGCCAAATGTCATTCCTCTGCTTCTTTCCCTGAAAAATTCTTCTCACTCTGCATGCTTACATTAAATCCTGCCTCCTTTCTTTCTAAAGCTTTCACTCCTCATCACATATGTCTGGCACACAATCAATATCACATATAATAAATCATAATTATAAGATTCCAGTGGGCATCTAGCACACAGTAAGCACTGAATAAAGCAGCAAAATAATAAAAATGACAATGATAATAATAACAAGCTCCTGTCTGTTTTTGTGTTCTGTAGCCTTAGAAAAACTGCTTAGTATCTAAAAGACATTTGACAGTTATTTGCTAAGTGTACAAGTGAAAACATAAATAAAAATGTTTTCTTTGTAAATTCTGTTGAAAAACCACAGAAATGAAATAGAAACACTTCTGTTGTGAGCACCTTAAAGATTAAAACTACATCTATTCCATCTTTGTCTCCTGCAACTTATAAAACCTAACTTACAGAAGCTCTTTGATAAATAGGTAGCTAAATTAAAGGTGTCCTCATACAGTTTGGATTGTACCATGTATTAGGTGTCCACATCCAGGTAGCATACTAGCATTTTTGTTACTGTGAAACATTTTCATATTTTTATTATAATCTGCTGACCCTTGCATTGGGAAAATTGTACATTATGACAATCTTTTGGCAAATGGTAGCAGAGCACCTTCTTCTAACAAAATTACTGTTATCATGACAATTAACCAGCCGGTGGAAGAACACATCTTGTTCCAACAAAGTAAATGCATCTCTTTCAACTTCAAAATAGGAGGAATGAAGTCAGTAACAGTGAGACCTTGTTGGCACAAGCATATGTAACATGACCTGTGCTTCACTGTTCTTTTGTGAACAAAAATTCCTTACTTTTACTTTTTAAATCTATGGTAGGACCTCCCAGAGCAGGGCTCCACAACTCCCAGGCCACAGACTGGTACCAGTCCATGGTCTGTTAGGAACCACGCCACACAGGAGGAGGTGCGCAGCAGGCAAGCCAGGGAAGCTTCATCTGTATTTACAGCCACTCCTTATGGCTCATATTACAGCCTCTACTCTGCCTCCAGTCAGATCAGTGATAGCATTAGATACTCATTGGAGCATGAACCCTGTTGTGAACTGCCCATCTGAGGGATCTAGGTTGTGTGCTTCCTATGAGAATCTAATGCCTGATGATCTGTCACTGTCTCACTTTGCCCCCAGAAGGGACCATCTAGTTGCAGAAAAATAAGCTCAGAGCTTCCACTGATTCTACATTATGGTAAGTTGTATAATTATTTTATTATATATTACAATGTAATAATAATATAAAGTAGCACAATAAGTGTAATGTGACTGAACAATCCTGAAACCATCCCCACCTTCCCCCAGCCCATGGAAAGATTGTCTTCCACAAAACCGGTCCCTGGTGCCAAAAAGATTGTGGACAACTGACCTAAAGTAATTCACTATCACAAGTCTTACCTGGGTTGCTGTTTTCAGAAGAGTATTTTGGCATCTGTTTTTCTTTGTAGTCAGAAACTAATTCGCAAATTCTATGTATAAAAATATAACAAATAAAATTACTGTTTTAAAATACTGATCTGGAAACTTACCAAATGTAAAATTCTTAGAGTATTTCAAACAATATCAGAATATCAGAACTTAACAGTATTATCCCATCCACTTATGCGTACGTTCTACAAACTTCTCATGAAGCTTCTAATTAAAGAAGAAAAAAAAGTAAGATGAAATACTCATAAATCGAGGGCACTGTGACCCAGTAAATTAACTTGCGTTAGCCTGACATAATAGAAAGTGTCCCAACTCTAAATAAGTCCTAGCTCCATAATGAACAGCTATTTGCTCTTGAACAAGCTGCTTCTCTTAGGCTCAATGTCGTCTTCTACAAAGTGAGGACTATGCTGCCTTATTTTACTAGGTTGTTATAATGATTTAACACGATAACATTTTTTTTAAATGCTCAAAGAAATAGTAAAACAATGGAATAATTTGTTCCTAAACTTTATGACTGAAATTATCTTGGAATCCCAAATAAAACCCAGTGCGAATTTTGTTCATAGGTTCTAATATGCAAATGTTGTAGTTTTCAGGAAATGTTATTAAGTCCTAATTTTGCTTCTTAGTTGTCCTACTCTTTATGGCTTCTAATTCAGGGCATCTCAACTATGTCATAGTTTGTAACTAAATTTTTTCATAAATATCTCATTAAAGTAGATAATGTGATTGTCCACTATTACGGAGTTGATCAATCACGCCAAGGGCAGAAAAACCAATGGATGTCAAGACCTGACTTGGACCAATGATCCTTCTCTACAGACTCAAACTCTCAGCCAGATGTTTGTTACGATGATGCTTTATATACATGTTCATCTCCAGCTGACATGGGAGACGAAAACCCTACTTTTATTTTTTTTTAGGTTCCACGAAGAAGTTGTAAGTTGCCATTCTCTAATTTTTAACATACATACTAACAATATATTTGGTACACAACACCCCACACGTTATTTGGCTCTGGTGTCATCTCACAGACCACCTTACATGACTATTTTTATTGCGCAAATCACAATTTCAATGTTTTTGTGGCACCCATTCTGCTTTGATTCACACCATTTCCTTAAAGCTACTCAGCAAACAGTCAAATGACCTTCCAGTGACTGCGCAAAATATAGAATGCTTCAAAAATTTGTGTGGCCGCCTTATGCAAGGGCCAGCTCCTTGGGAGGCTGAGGCAGGAGAAATGCATGAACCCACGTTGCAATGAACTGAGATCGCGCCACTGTACTCCAGCCTGGGCGATACAGCGAGACTCCATCTCAAAAAAATAAAATAAAATAAAATAAAATAGTAAAGTTTGCAATTCCTCTGACTCAGTTTACCATGACAATTATGATTACTATTAAAGAATAAATAGTGAATAACCACAATATTGGGCTTTTCTCCCTAAATAAAAAAATTAATATAAAGAATGTAGCTTATTATAAAGAGCCAAAACGATTTTAAAAATGCAGACAATTACCAGGCAAAACTGTTAGGAAAGAACCATGTCAAACTTTTTTTTTTTTTTTTTTTGAGACGGAGTCTTGCTCTGTCACCCAGGCTGGAGTGCAGTGGCACGATCTTGGCTCACTGCAAGCTCCGCCTCCCGGGTTCATGCCATTCTCCTGCCTCAGCCTCCATAGCAGCTGGGACTACAGGCGCATGCTGCCACACCCGGTTAATTTTTTTGTATTTTTAGTAGAGACGGGGTTTCACTGGTCTCCACCTCCTGACCTCATGATCCACCTGCCTCGGCCTCCCAAAGTGCTTTGATTACAGGTGTCAGCCACCATGCCCGACCCATGTCAAACATTTTTTTTTTTTTTTTTTTTTTTTTTTTTTTTTTTATTATACTCTAAGTTTTAGGGTACATGTGCACATTGTGCAGGTTAGTTACATATGTATACATGTGCCATGCTGGTGCGCTGCACCCACTAATGTGTCATCTAGCATTAGGTATATCTCCCAATACTATCCCTCCCCCCTCCCCCGACCCCACCACAGTCCCCAGAGTGTGATATTCCCCTTCCTGTGTCCATGTGATCTCATTGTTCAATTCCCACCTATGAGTGAGAATATGCGGTGTTTGGTTTTTTGTTCTTGCGATAGTTTACTGAGAATGATGGTTTCCAATTTCATCCATGTCCCTACAAAGGATATGAACTCATCATTTTTTATGGCTGCATAGTATTCCATGGTGTATATGTGCCACATTTTCTTAATCCAGTCTATCATTGTTGGACATTTGGGTTGGTTCCAAGTCTTTGCTATTGTGAATAGTGCCGCAATAAACATACGTGTGCATGTGTCTTTATAGCAGCATGATTTATACTCATTTGGGTATATACCCAGTAATGGGATGGCTGGGTCAAATGGTATTTCTAGTTCTAGATCCCTGAGGAATCGCCACACTGACTTCCACAATGGTTGAACTAGTTTACAGTCCCACCAACAGTGTAAAAGTGTTCCTATTTCTCCGCATCCTCTCCAGCACCTGTTGTTTCCTGACTTTTTAATGATTGCCATTCTAAATGGTGTGAGATGATATCTCATAGTGGTTTTGATTTGCATTTCTCTGATGGCCAGTGATGATGAGCATTTCTTCATGTGTTTTTTGGCTGCATAAATGTCTTCTTTTGAGAAGTGTCTGTTCATGTCCTTCGCCCACTTTTTGATGGGGTTGTTTGTTTTTTTCTTGTAAATTTGTTTGAGTTCATTGTAGATTCTGGATATTAGCCCTTTGTCAGATGAGTAGGTTGCAAAAATTTTCTCCCATTTTGTAGGTTGCCTGTTCACTCTGATGGTAGTTTCTTTTGCTGTGCAGAAGCTCTTTAGTTTAATTAGATCCCATTTGTCAATTTTGTCTTTTGTTGCCATTGCTTTTGGTGTTTTGGACATGAAGTCCTTGCCCACGCCTATGTCCTGAATGGTAATGCCTAGGTTTTCTTCTAGGGTTTTTATGGTTTTAGGTTTAACGTTTAAATCTTTAATCCATCTTGAATTGATTTTTGTATAAGGTGTAAGGAAGGGATCCAGTTTCAGCTTTCTACATATGGCTAGCCAGTTTTCCCAGCACCATTTATTAAATAGGGAATCCTTTCCCCATTGCTTGTTTTTCTCAGGTTTGTCAAAGATCAGATAGTTGTAGATATGCGGCATTATTTCTGAGGGCTCTGTTCTGTTCCATTGATCTATATCTCTGTTTTGGTACCAGTACCATGCTGTTTTGGTTACTGTAGCCTTGTAGTATAGTTTGAAGTCAGGTAGTGTGATGCCTCCAGCTTTGTTCTTTTGGCTTAGGATTGACTTGGCAATGCGGGCTCTTTTTTGGTTCCATATGAACTTTAAAGTAGTTTTTTCCAATTCTGTGAAGAAAGTCATTGGTAGCTTGATGGGGATGGCATTGAATCTGTAAATTACCTTGGGCAGTATGGCCATTTTCACGATATTGATTCTTCCTACCCATGAGCATGGAATGTTCTTCCATTTGTTTGTCTCCTCTTTTATTTCCTTGAGCAGTGGTTTGTAGTTCTCCTTGAAGAGGTCCTTCACATCCCTTGTAAGTTGGATTCCTAGGTATTTTATTCTCTTTGAAGCAATTGTGAATGGGAGTTCACCCATGATTTGGCTCTCTGTTTGTCTGTTGTTGGTGTATAAGAATGCTTGTGATTTTTGTACATTGATTTTGTATCCTGAGACTTTGCTGAAGTTGCTTATCAGCTTAAGGAGATTTTGGGCTGAGACGATGGGGTTTTCTAGATAAACAATCATGTCGTCTGCAAACAGGGACAATTTGACTTCCTCTTTTCCTAATTGAATACCCTTTATTTCCTTCTCCTGCCTGATTGCCCTGGCCAGAACTTCCAACACTATGTTGAATAGGAGCGGTGAGAGAGGGCATCCCTGTCTTGTGCCGGTTTTCAAAGGGAATGCTTCCAGTTTTTGCCCATTCAGTATGATATTGGCTGTGGGTTTGTCATAGATAGCTCTTATTATTTTGAAAAACGTCCCATCAATACCTAATTTATTGAGAGTTTTTAGCATGAAGGGTTGTTGAATTTTGTCAAAGGCTTTTTCTGCATCTATTGAGATAATCATGTGGTTTTTGTCTTTGGCTCTGTTTACATGCTGGATTACATTTATTGATTTGCGTATATTGAACCAGCCTTGCATCCCAGGGATGAAGCCCACTTGATCATGGTGGATAAGCTTTTTGATGTGCTGCTGGATTCGGTTTGCCAGTATTTTATTGAGGATTTTTGCATCAATGTTCATCAAGGATATTGGTCTAAAATTCTCTTTTTTGGTTGTGTCTCTGCCCGGCTTTGGTATCAGAATGATGCTGGCCTCATAAAATGAGTTAGGGAGGATTCCCTCTTTTTCTATTGATTGGAATAGTTTCAGAAGGAATGGTACCAGTTCCTCCTTGTACCTCTGGTAGAATTCGGCTGTGAATCCATCTGGTCCTGGACTCTTTTTGGTTGGTAAACTATTGATTATTGCCACAATTTCAGAGCCTGTTATTGGTCGATTCAGAGATTCAACTTCTTCTTGGTTTAGTCTTGGGAGAGTGTATGTGTCGAGGAATGTATCCATTTCTTCTAGATTTTCTAGTTTATTTGCATAGAGGTGTTTGTAGTATTCTCTGATGGTAGTTTGTATTTCTGTGGGATCGGTGGTGATATCCCCTTTATCATTTTTTATTGTGTCTATTTGATTCTTCTCTCTTTTTTTCTTTATTAGTCTTGCTAGCGGTCTATCAATTTTGTTGATCCTTTCAAAAAACCAGCTCCTGGATTCATTGATTTTTTGAAGGGTTTTTTGTGTCTCTATTTCCTTCAGTTCTGCTCTGATTTTAGTTATTTCTTGCCTTCTGCTAGCTTTTGAATGTGTTTGCTCTTGCTTTTCTAGTTCTTTTAATTGTGATGTTAGGGTGTCAATTTTGGATCTTTCCTGCTTTCTCTTGTAGGCATTTAGTGCTATAAATTTCCCTCTACACACTGCTTTGAATGCGTCCCAGAGATTCTGGTATGTGGTGTCTTTGTTCTCGTTGGTTTCAAAGAACATCTTTATTTCTGCCTTCATTTCGTTATGTACCCAGTAGTCATTCAGGAGCAGGTTGTTCAGTTTCCATGTAGTTGAGCGGCTTTGAGTGAGATTCTTAATCCTGAGTTCTAGTTTGATTGCACTGTGGTCTGAGAGATAGTTTGTTATAATTTCTGTTCTTTTACATTTGCTGAGGAGAGCTTTACTTCCAACTATGTGGTCAATTTTGGAATAGGTGTGGTGTGGTGCTGAAAAAAATGTATATTCTGTTGATTTGGGGTGGAGAGTTCTGTAGATGTCTATTAGGTCTGCTTGGTGCAGAGCTGAGTTCAATTCCTGGGTATCCTTGTTGACTTTCTGTGTCGTTGATCTGTCTAATGTTGACAGTGGGGTGTTAAAGTCTCCCATTATTAATGTGTGGGAGTCTAAGTCTCTTTGTAGGTCACTGAGGACTTGCTTTATGAATCTGGGTGCTCCTGTATTGGGTGCATAAATATTTAGGATAGTTAGCTCCTCTTGTTGAATTGATCCCTTTACCATTATGTAATGGCCTTCTTTGTCTCTTTTGATCTTTGTTGGTTTAAAGTCTGTTTTATCAGAGACTAGGATTGCAACCCCTGCCTTTTTTTGTTTTCCATTGGCTTGGTAGATCTTCCTCCATCCTTTTATTTTGAGCCTATGTGTGTCTCTGCACGTGAGATGGGTTTCCTGAATACAGCACACTGATGGGTCTTGACTCTTTATCCAACTTGCCAGTCTGTGTCTTTTAATTGCAGAATTTAGTCCATTTATATTTAAAGTTAATATTGTTATGTGTGAATTTGATCCTGTCATTATGATGTTAGCTGGTGATTTTGCTCATTAGTTGATGCAGTTTCTTCCTAGTCTCGATGGTCTTTACATTTTGGCATGATTTTGCAGCGGCTGGTACCGGTTGTTCCTTTCCATGTTTAGCGCTTCCTTCAGGAGCTCTTTTAGGGCAGGCCTGGTGGTGACAAAATCTCTCAACATTTGCTTGTCTATAAAGTATTTTATTTCTCCTTCACTTATGAAGCTTAGTTTGGCTGGATATGAAATTCTGGGTTGAAAATTCTTTTCTTTAAGAATGTTGAATATTGGCCCCCACTCTCTTCTGGCTTGTAGGGTTTCTGCCGAGAGATCCGCTGTTAGTCTGATGGGCTTTCCTTTGAGGGTAACCCGACCTTTCTCTCTGGCTGCCCTTAACATTTTTTCCTTCATTTCAACTTTGGTGAATCTGACAATTATGTGTCTTGGAGTTGCTCTTCTCGAGGAGTATCTTTGTGGCGTTCTCTGTATTTCCTGAATCTGAACGTTGGCCTGCCTTGCTAGATTGGGGAAGTTCTCCTGGATAATATCCTGCAGAGTGTTTTCCAACTCGGTTCCATTCTCCACATCACTTTCAGGTACACCAATCAGACGTAGATTTGGTCTTTTCACATAGTCCCATATTTCTTGGAGGCTTTGCTCATTTCTTTTTATTCTTTTTTCTCTAAACTTCCCTTCTCGCTTCATTTCATTCATTTCATCTTCCATTGCTGATACCCTTTCTTCCAGTTGATCGCATCGGCTCCTGAGGCTTCTGCATTCTTCACGTAGTTCTCGAGCCTTGGTTTTCAGCTCCATCAGCTCCTTTAAGCACTTCTCTGTATTGGTTATTCTAGTTATACATTCTTCTAAATTTTTTTCAAAGTTTTCAACTTCTTTGCCTTTGGTTTGAATGTCCTCCCGTAGCTCAGAGTAATTTGATCGTCTGAAGCCTTCTTCTCTCAGCTCGTCAAAATCATTCTCCATCCAGCTTTGTTCTGTTGCTGGTGAGGAACTGCGTTCCTTTGGAGGAGGAGAGGCGCTCTGCGTTTTAGAGTTTCCAGTTTTTCTGTTCTGTTTTTTCCCCATCTTTGTGGTTTTATCTACTTTTGGTCTTTGATGATGGTGATGTACAGATGGGTTTTCGGTGTAGATGTCCTTTCTGGTTGTTAGTTTTCCTTCTAACAGACAGGACCCTCAGCTGCAGGTCTGTTGGAATACCCTGCCGTGTGAGGTGTCAGTGTGCCCCTGCTGGGGGGTGCCTCCCAGTTAGGCTGCTCAGGGGTCAGGAGTCAGGGACCCACTTGAGGAGGCAGTCTGCCCGTTCTCAGATCTCCAGCTGCGTGCTGGGAGAACCACTGCTCTCTTCAAAGCTGTCAGACAGGGACACTTAAGTCCGCAGAGGTTACTGCTGTCTTTTTGTTTGTCTGTGCCCTGCCCCCAGAGGTGGAGCCTACAGAGGCAGGCAGGCCTCCTTGAGCTGTGGTGGGCTCCACCCAGTTCGAGCTTCCTGGCTGCTTTGTTTACCTAAGCAAGCCTGGGCAATGGCGGGCGCCCCTCCCCCAGCCTCGTTGCCGCCTTGCAGTTTGATCTCAGACTGCTGTGCTAGCAATCAGCGAGATTCCGTGGGCGTAGGACCCTCCGAGCCAGGTGTGGGATATAGTCTCGTGGTGCGCCGTTTCTTAAGCCGGTCTGAAAAGCGCAATATTCGGGTGGGAGTGACCCGATTTTCCAGGTGCGTCCGTCACCCCTTTCTTTGACTCGGAAAGGGAACTCCCTGACCCCTTGCGCTTCCCAGGTGAGGCAATGCCTCGCCCTGCTTCGGCTCGCGCACGGTGCGCACACACACTGGCCTGCGCCCACTGTCTGGCACTCCCTAGTGAGATGAACCCGGTACCTCAGATGGAAATGCAGAAATCACCGTCTTCTGCGTTGCTCACGCTGGGAGCTGTAGACCAGAGCTGTTCCTATTCGGCCATCTTGGCTCAATCCACCATGTCAAACATTTTTAAAGTGAGAATCAATCAAACAATATACACAGGATAAACTCCATTCACTTATTTAATAAGTATTTATTAGGTAGCTACATCCAATATGCTAAGCCTTTTTCTAAGCAGTGAAGATATGGTAGTGAAAAATAAAAACCCTATTCATGACAGTGAGAAAAACACACAATAACAACAGACAGATAAGGCAAAATATACGGTATGTTAGAGGAGAAAAACTAAAGCAGGAAAATGAAATGTTTATGTGTTTGATGGGGAGGGTGGTGGGAAAGCTGAGATGGCCAGAAGAGTCCCTGCTGAGAAAGGGTTTTTTTTTTCTAATACAAAAAACCTTTTATTTGTATATCAAAGACTCTAAGAAACGATGACATAAGGTTAACAGCGTTGATGTCAAGATACAAATAGGTTTGAAGTTAGAGATGATAAATCACTTTGTTTCATTGAACCTTGCCTTGATTACCTTAGAGAGCATTCCTTGTATGCTGCCAATTGCATCTTAAGCATGATGCGTCTGGGTAGTACACGGTTCTTCCTCAGAAAGTGGATGTTCCTTAATGTGTTTCTTTTTACCCTTTGTCTTCTTCTTCTTAGAAAGGCGGTTTTAAATAAAGAACTGAAGGAATGGAAAGAGTTAAGCTAGGAGGATATCTGGGGGAAAAGCATCCCAGACACAGGGAACTGCCAAGCACAGAGGTGTGTCTGGAGTCTTTAAGCACTAGGGGTAGATACGGTATGGCAAGAATTCAGTGTGGCTGAAGCAGAGCAAGGGAGATAATCAGGAGGAACTCTGACCCATACTCAGAGTGAAAAGGAGGCAATCAGAAGTGCTGGGGAAGAGGAATGACACAATTTGACTTATGTTTTAAATACATCCACTGAGTTAAGAATTGATGAAAAGGGAAGTTTTTAAAAGCCAGGACGATCAATTCCCAGTCTATGACACTCATGACTGCAGATGACAGTGGCTCAGATGTACAAGATATGACTGGCTTCTGGTCATATTCTTCAGGTAGACCTGACAAGATTTACTGAAAGATTAGATATGAGGTGTCAGAGGGACAGATGAGTCAAGAATGACAATGACATTTTTGGCAGAGCAATTGGAAGAGTTGCCCTTAACCAAAGTAGGAAAGACTACATGAGGTGTAGATTTCAGGAAGGACATCAGTAGCCCAATTTTGGATCTGACAAGTGTGTGATACCCAATAACTAACCAAATAGAGACGTCAAGTAGGCAGGCTGATATAAAAAATCTGGAATTAAGGAGAGAGATCTGAGCTGGAGACATACATTTGGAAATCACTAGCATATACACAATAGAAAAAGTCATGAGGGGCCGGGTGCAGTGGCTCACACCTGTAATCCCAACACTTTGTGAGGCCAAGGCAGACAGATCACCTGAGATCAGGAGTTTGAGACCAGGCTGGCCAACATGGGGAAATGCTGTCTCTACTAAAAATACAAAAATTAGCCAGGCATGGTGGCACACACCTGTAATGCCAGCTACTCAGGAGGCTGAGGCAGGAGAATCACTTAAACCCAAGAGGCAGAAGTTGTAGTGAGCTGAGATCACACCACTGAACTCCAGCCTGGGGGACAGAGTCAAACTCCGTCTCAAAAAAAGAAAAAGTCAGGAGAAAGAAGATTGAGGACTGAGCCCTGGGAAACAACAATGTCCAAAAGGAGAAAGATGAGGAGGAGCAAGCAAAACAGACCATGATGAATGGACTAGAAATGCAGGAGGAAAAGCTTGAGGGAGTGAGGTCCTGAAAGCCAAGTGAAGACGCCGTTAGGGAGGAGACGCCCTCCACTGGCTCAAATATTGCTGACAGATTAAATAAAATGAGGTGTAAGAAAAATGCATAATTTACAGAAAAAAATTGTGATAATCTTGAGGAAAAACAATGTTGGAGGACTGCTGAAATTGAAGACGCTGGTGTGAGATTAAGAGTGAATGAAAAGAAAATTTGAGTTCGTGAGTGTGGACAGTTCTTTTAAGGACATCATGCTTAGGAGTCATGACTGAGAATGTTGTAATTTTCTTCCACAGTCATGGAAAAGTAATAGACAAATAGTTTCAAGTTTTATATAACAGGTGTAGTTTTCAAATTTTATATAACAATTATATATTTTAAAGGTTATAAAAATTATACACATGTGGCATTAAAAATGCCAGACTGAGGTGTTAAATTCTTAAAACTATAGAACTAAAAGTCGCCTTGAACATTTCTAGATTACACATAAGCTGATTATCATTTTATTCATGCTTATACATAAAGACCAAGAAATACTAAAAGTTTCAAGGAGAGTATTTCTTGCTTGATAAAATCAGCCAATTCTAGGAAAACTGATACTCATCAAATATACAAAATAATTGATCACAGCAAAATACTGGGTTCTATTAACAGGAATAAAGTGGGAGAAATGCAGAAAATAATCTTATTTTATAAATGAAATTTTTAAAATTATATGAAGTCACTGTGGAAAAATATGGTGAGGTGAATACTGAAATATATCCTTTTCTCAAAGGAAGGATAATTTCACACACGCAGGGCACTTTTACAAATAGGAGTCACTTCACTTGCAGCACCTTCCTTTTAGCACAAGGGTCAGCAAATTAGCACCTTGGGCCAAATCCAGCCCACTGCCTGTTTTTGTAAGTCAAGTATTTTGGAACACAGCCATGCTTATTCACTTTACAGTCCACAGTGTCAATTAGCTGGGTGTGATGTTGCACACCTGTGGTCCCAACTAGTAGAGAGGCTGAGGTGGGAAGATCACTAGAGCTCAGAAAGTCAAGACTGCAGTGAGCCATGATCACACAACTGCACTCCAGCCTGGGAAACAGAGTGAGACCCTGTCTCAAAAATAAATTAATTTATATAGTCCACAAAGCCTAAAATATTTACTAACTGGCTCTTTGCAGAAAAAGCTGGCCAACTCCTGGTTTAGCAGATGAAAGATCCTTTGATATATTTTAATAAAAGTTTTACCCAATATACTGAAACGTTTATATTAAATACAGATCCCCATGTACAATCCCTTGGCAATATTCAGATTGAGGGTCCAATATTTCAGCACTCAGGCACTGACAATAAAAATTTAATGACTAGCAATCTTGTTGCTAACAAGGTACAGCATCAATATAGCATGTAGCTTCCATTTGCAACACAGGAAATATTACAAGAATTTTAACAAGAACTCTTAAGATGTCATCACTGATGCTTTAAATACACTTTAATTGTGAAATAATCAGTATACTCTAGATCTAACCTCACTTGTAAAAAATGGTTGCATACTACATTAATTTCTGGGTATGAAAATTGAGCTATTTCCTATTGGTAATGATTTACTTTTGATAGTGATAATTTCCTATTGATAAGGATCCATCTTTTTGATATAATAATGCTGTAATAAATGTCCTTATACATAAGTATATATGTAACAAATCTACACAAATATCCTTTACATATATTATATATCCTTATTGTTATACATGTGTTTGTGAATATGCTACTAAATTAATGTTCAAAATGTATTTACCAGCAGTGTATGAAATGTCTTTTACAATGAAACCATTTCTTTTGCAGCAACACAGATGGAGCTGGAGGGCATTATCCTAAGCAAACTAATGCAGGAACAGAAGATCAAATGCCACATATTCTTACTCATTAGTGGGAACTAAATAATGAGAACTCATGGACACAAAGAGGAGAATAACAGGCACCAGGGTCTACTTGAAGGTGGAGCGTCGCGGGAGGGAGATGACCAAAAAACTAACTTTTGGTGTTTTGCTTATTATGTGGCTGATGAAATAATCTGCAGTCCAAATCTCCATGATACACTTTACCTATATAATAACCCTGCACATGCACCCCTGAAACTAAAAGAAAAGTTCACTAAAAAGAAAAGAAAATGCCTTTTCCCTCACATTTGCCAATACTGGTTATTTTTCAAATAAATTAATGCCTGGAAAAATGGTAACTCATTGTTCGCTGATTTTCATTTTTCTGATTAACGGGCAGGGCTGAATATCCTAGTAAAACTATAAAATTTGTTCATCATGAATATTAGCCCAAATTAGGGTTAGTTTGACAGCACATAGTTATCTTCTATTCAATGTTGCCATAGGCTTACCTGTGATACTCTTCACTTTCGTTGTCAGGAAATTGCTGATTTTCAGGTGTTCTGCTCTTCCTTTGAGGAATTAATCCATTATCACCATTGCCAGCAGTGACACCATTAGTCAGGTTTTCTAGTAATCCCACATTATTACTTTCATGCTTCTTCATTTCTTCTTCAACCTTGAGTGGGATATTAAGGATAGTTATCACTTTATTGAATAAAAAGAACCTTTTTAATTGATTCTATCAATTGACTCAGTTTGTCATTATTTTAGTCATTAAAAATATTTCACACTTAAATTTGATCATATATATAGAAATATTACCATATAACTTTAAGATGTAATTATCATCTCATTAATATATCACAGAAATTTTTGTAAAGTTTGCTTCATTTCTGTTTCAATGAATGAAACAGAATTTTCCAAAATTCAAAAAGGGCCCTCCTTCATTTTGTGCTTTTATTCTCAATCACTCTTCAGAATCTTATGTATGTATTTACCCCATTTGATTCATGGGAACACACAAATAAAAAGACAAAGATGCAAAATGTGTCCTCTTCCGTCTTTACCACCTAGATTTTACATTAAACAGTCAGATTTAGAGGATGACACACTGTGCGGCTTCAGGAATAGAAAGGAAGTTTGCCCTTTTCTGCGCTAAGATATTCTTCTACCCCACTGCCTTTGAGCATTCTTTTTTCATTTGGTTGCTGGGATATCAAAAACATGATGGTGCTCACTGAAAATGGGAGCCAAAGTTTGCCACAACACAAGAAGCAGAGTGAAACTGCTGACGTGCAAGCATGGAATTCCAGAAAATGAGATGCTCCCCAAATTTCACATTGAATAGCCATACAATTTTCTAGCTGGAAGATACACAGAATAAAAAGCTATCTTCTTTAGCCACATTATCTATTGATAATCAGACTAAAACCAAGAAAGATAAAATGATTGGTCCAAAGCTCCTAAAGTGGCATTACCTAGCATTTTATAGCACCATTCAGGATTGTTCCATAATAATCAAAGAATATCTCTAGGCTTTGTATCTCTTGAAAACTCAATGTACAGAATTCTTTCTGAGTTAAATATTAACTTTTTCACTGATGATTTATGCTACTTACATGATAGGATCATGTATGCCTACACTTACTACATTTTGTTAAACAACATAATGTAAAAATCTAATTCAACAGAAACATTTGAATATGAAGGTATACCTCTCTATCACCATCCTTATTTATTTCTGGTTCTTGAGACATTTTCTGCAGAGGCAAAAACAGAAGGTTAATTTGCTTGTTGTGTTTCTGTGATGTGTCCTCTTTTGGAGCGCATGTTTTAAAAAAATTTTATTCTTAACTAATCAAGTATGGACAATGAAAAATTAGAAAATAATTAAAATTAAAATTTAACTGTTAAATAAATAATAATTAAAATTAAGAATTAACTTTTTAATCTATGTTTAGCTACTGCCACATTACTGGCTTCTGACTAACATGTGAAAAATAATTCACCTTAGCCCAATGAAGAAAAAAAACGTGAACCAGCAAACTTAATTTGATCACCATTTGTTTGGACTAAACTTAATTTGTTATGTGTTAAATCTACCAAAAATGAATCAGCAGATGATTTGTAGTGTTCCAAAACCTTCCTCACTTGAAAAGAGTTTACCTCATGAAACCCTAACTAGTGAGCCCCTACAGTGCACTGAAGTGCTTTTCTAAAAGATTCCTAACTGGATTGTAGGCACCATTTAAATTATTAGGAGCCGAAATCAACACCAAACAGAAAGAGATGCAAATTCTCAAATTTTAATTGAGATTATATACTGTCATATGATAGTGTTATGTATCCAGATTATCTGCTTAAGTCCAGTTCTAATATATTCTAATGTGTACTAATTACAGTGGATAAAGATTTTTTAACAATATGTACTAATTTTCTGCAACTGAAATAAATTAGAATGTTATTGTGTTTGTGCACTAACACCAAAGGTTCCATTCTGCAAGATATGATTCTTGTAATAGGCAGCTGTGTTGCTTTTATGACCTGGTTCCCTCCCTGAACAGAAACGCTGAGGTCAACGAGAGACCATAAGGCAGAATATATTTTTAAGCTTGGTATCAATGACTGACAATATAAAACTGCAGATTTTCAATCACTGGCCATGATTACTCCTTAACCATGAATCCAGCTCAGGGACCATCAGAGTTACATTGTTCATAATTCTATTGCTTAATAACATAATCCAATAATTGATGTACCTTCTTCATCATGTTCGGGTGTTGTAAAAATAAAAGAACAAAGTTCTGAAATTTGTTTTTGCCTCTATTCCAAAAGGAAAGATTAGCTATAAGCTAATCAAAAAGGCAGATGAGAGTATTTTAAATAAAAATATTATAAGAGTATTTTAAATTTTATAGTGGTTATGTTTTTTAAGTTAAATATCAAATGTTAAATTAGAATCCATTCTTCTGTTAATGAGATTACTGAATTTATTAAAATAAATTTTAACAATCTATTAAAAAATTCTTTAAAAAATCTATTGATTCTCAAAACCTAGTCTGAAAGGTAATTTCATTTGGACTATCTAATATTATTAAAGCAAAGAAAACAACATTAAATCAAAAATTTAAATTTAAAATTTTCCATGCCTCTGGCTGGCTATTTTCACTGCCTTTGAACCTTTGTGACTCTTCCTCTGATGTCAGCTTTAAGTCTTGTTCTGTTGAGAAATCCATATATTCAGTTAAAATGAACCACTTAGAACAGTTAAAAACTATTGCCTTTATAAAAATAGATTTAAGACAACATTTTATTTCATAAATTGAGTGTTTAGTTTTTCATGAAATAGTTATTTAGGAAATAATTCTCCCAAACTTCAACAAACCACTTGGGGAGACACCTGATGTCATTCACTCACAAATTCATCCACCCAACATAAATGAACAAAACCACCAGAAACACAACTTTAAAATACAGTAGAAGCATGTAAGGTAACACAGTATGTTGTTCTCCACTTCCTAATAGTGAAGCAGTAAATGTAAAGAAAAGGAAATTTAGTTTTAAAGAGAAACAAGTTTTCCCGCACTTAGCTAGTCTGACTCTAAGGATAGTAACAAGCAGGGCCCAGGAAAGGTCGTGGTGACCCTGCCTGAGAAGCCAGAGCCCACAGGTATGGGCTCCAGACATCCCACAGCAAGGTTAAGAAAACAAAATCCTTTACTGTCTCCCCTTCCCCTCAGCATTCACTCAGAGCTGTTTTTACAAATGCATACTATTTGCAAGTTCCTGTTGACCTTCAATGCAGCTGCAAGGTCATAAGCTTTGCTGAGGTTGCAAAACTGTCACTATATGATTAACTGCCTTTGTTCTGCTTCTGTAAGCTTGCCTACATAAGCCAAGCCCTGTCTTTGTTCAGGGCTCAGCTTTCGGATGCAAATCTGCTGAGCTGTTGCGAACCTAAATGAAATCCTCCTGTTTCACCCACTTGGTCTCTCCTGCCTCCTGCTTTCTGCAACAATAGTACCTTACAAATGATTTCAAAAATTACTACTGACACCTTTATTAGTGTACAATGTCTTCCCAATATCTAAAATGTTTCCCTCCACTATTCTGACACATTTATTTTCATTTTTCTTTCTTTCTTTTTTTTTTTTTGAGCCAGGGTCTTGCTCTGTCACCAGGCTGGAGTGCAGTGGCGCAATCTCAGCTCACTGCAACCTCTGACACTCCCTGGTTCAAGCGATTCTCCTGTCTCAGTCTCCGGAGAAGCTGGGATTACAGGCATGTACCATCATGCCCAGCTAATTTTCGTGTTTTTAGTAGAGACGGGGTTTCACCATTGGCCATGATGGTCCTGATCTTTTGACCTTGTGATCTGCCTGCTCCAGCCTCCCAAAATGCTGGGATTAGAGGTGTGAGCCACCACACTTGTCCTTATATTTATCTTTTAAAACAATGCTATGAGAACGTCTTCCTTGATTCTGCATGTCTTTCCCCAGATAAACAGGTACCTCCTTCCTTGAGGCTGCCTTAGTACTTCACTGATTTTTCTACTGCATCTTTACCACCTGAACTCTACATTATTCCTCCACATGTCTGTCCCGTCTGCTCCAAGACTGCAGAGGACAGTCTTGAGCATCATCTTACTCACATTTTACTCAGAAATTTCTTATTGAGTCCTGCTAAATACATGTTAGGCATTAGGGTTTAAAAAGAATTAAAATAAAGCATGTCAGGGATGGCTTTTCTAGAAAACATGCCCAAGCAGAGACTTAAATATTGAGACTAGCCAGATTAAAAGGGGTAGAGGGCAGGAAAGGGTGACGGCATGCCACGCAGCAGCAAGAGCGGGAGCGAGGCCTGAAAGAGTGAAAGTATTTGCCTACAATAGGAGGATGAGTGAGTAGGGCATTGCCAGCAGCTCAGTAATGCCAGAGAAAGGGCACACAGGGAAAAGGCCTAAAGATGGAGAGTGGGGCAGAAGTCAGATTATGAAAGCCTTATGTGTAATTTTAAGATGCCTGGACATTAATGTTCAAGAGTGGTCCCTGATCCTATCTGCATTTAGATATAGATCACTTTAAATGCCAAAACCAATATTCCTACTGAACAATTATTCATTAAGACAAGGTGACAGATAGCTCATGTGGACAGAGCTGAGATGATACTATGTAGCAATTTCTCAATAATTCTCATGAACACTTGGAAAGTCAATTCTATAAGAAGTCAGAGAAATTATAATAAATCACTTAATACTTGGTTTGGGAAGGTGCTTTCTAAAGTTATAGTGCCTATGAATTTAACTAATAATTGTGAATTCAGAGCTGTGACAATAAAGCAAAGAAACCACATTGTGTTTGAGTCAGCAATCTTTAGATTTCTATCCAGTCTTCCTACCCAGTCCGTAAATTCTAACTATAATCCTGGTACTCACTCTCAAGTTTATGTTAAATACTAGCCTATACAAAAAACACTCTTTCTCTTTTTTCATTTTGTTATTTATATATTGCTTTGTTTAAAGGAAGAACACAAAAATGCCCTGCTAAAGGGATTCTGTTTGGTTGCAGGCTGCAAGCGGGGAAAAAATCAAAGTGTATTTCACAGAAAATGATTTTTTAGAAGTCAGAACTATGACATGAAGTCAAGCAGGGCACTCTAGGACTGAATTTGCTGTGCTGCCTTCATACGCTCCTTGCTCGCTCTTTTCTGGCAGCTGTGACTCACACAGGTCATGGAGAGTATCATTCCCTAAGAGGAACAACTCCGATATTCATCTTTATCCATTAAGTTCATCTGTCCCATTCTATGTCTGTGGATGCTAACTTTTGATCATTGATGGTGATACACATGGACATTTATCATCAACTTTCAGATTCTTGGATCTTTGACAAGTCTTATTAGTGAGAGTCAAACTAGTAGGATGCGAGTTATAAATGCTGGTTATCCAATTACCTATTCAAAATATCCTACATGAATTTTCCATTAAACGTGCATAGAAAAACATTAGTCATTCCTGCTGACCTGCTGCTCTTTGCTCTTCTGTATTCACCAGAAAATTTCCTCCTTCGTCCTCACATCCAGGTTAAATACTACTGTACAACCTGGAAACCTGGAAATTATCTGACATTTCTCTCTGTCCCCCAAGCCCTTCTCATTCAATTATCACTAAATCATATTGACGATACCGCTCTTCTGCCTCTGCTTTATATTCCCACTGCCACTGGGAACACAAACATTTACAAAATGGCTTTTATTTAAAAAAAAGCCTGCCAACTATTAATGTTATTTCTTACATAAAAAAAATTAAGCAAAACAAATGAAAAAAGCATAACACCAAAAAAACAAAGGCCAACATATTAAAACAAGTAGTTGAGATTCCTAACTTTATGTATTTCACTAAGGACGGGTGAAAACCTTGTAATACATTGATGCTACTCCAAGGATGTATGACAAGGAAACTATAGCTGACTACTGCGAAAACTTCCTTTGTCTCCTGGTTTCTTTACATGGTAAAGAACCTTCCATCAATCCCAGCAAACTATAGGCCACAGGCCAAATCCAATCTGCCTTATGGCTTTGTAAATAAAGTTTTATAGGAGCTCAGTCATGCCTGTTTGCTTACATATAATCATGGTGGCTTTCACACTACAACAGCAGACAACAGCAGGGTTAAGTAGATATGACAGAGACCACATAGTCTAAAATATTGCCCACCTGGCCATTTACAGAAAAAGCTTGCTAACCCGTTTTACACCATAACCAGAATGCCTTAATACTCAAATTTAATCTTGTGACTCCCCTGCTCAAATTTCTCCAATGAGCCCCTGCAGCACACATTGTTGGCTCCCTATCAATAGCCATTCCTTATTCTTTCTTGAAGAAGAAATCCAAGTCTATTGGGATATTTATTATCCCAATCCCCCTCCTCAGCCTCAGAAACAGAAATGTTTATTCTAAGCTAATCAGGTATTTACCTTCCCAGTGCCTGGTTTGGGAATGAGCATGTGGTGTGACCCAGCCAGTGAAATGTTACAGGAAGCCCTTTGCATGCTTCTAAGTTTTCTCCCTGTTTAAAAGACACATGTGAAGAAAAGCAGCCCTTGCGATGTTGTGTTGTGAGAACAAGATGTTTGGAGCTGCTGCGGATTAGCCAACCATGAAAGGAGACGTGAATAAAACACTGTCAACAGCACAGCTGAAAGAGGGAAAAGTGGGATCCTAGGATATCAATGAACAACCAAAACAACTCTGGTTCCTACTGTTTTAGCCACTGTTCATCTAGTATTTGCAGTCCAAAGCATTCTACCCAGTAAATTTCCCATGGCACACAGGATAAGACCTACTCATTTCTATAGTATTAAAAAGTCTATCATAAACTTGCCTTAGCTAAGTATTCACCTCATTCCCAACCTCTCGTATCACACACTTTTGGTACTAGCAAAAGTGAACTGCTCAGAAACCCTGCCATGTTCACTCAAGCATCTTGTCTTTTGCACTTGCTGCTCTTCCTCCCAAACAGGCAATCTCATTAGATGTTCCTTCTGGCAAACACACGACCTCGCTGCATGTTCCTTCTGCCAAACATTCTTCTTCTGCTTCTTTACCTAGAAAAATTCTTCTCTCTCTGCATGCTTACCTTAAATCATACCTACTTTTTCCCAAAACTTTCATTCCTCATCACATATGTCTGGCACATAATCAATATATAATAAATCATAATTATAAGCTTCCAGTGGGCATCTAGCACACAGTAAGCACTGAATAAAGTAGTAAAATAATGAAAATGACAATGATAACAAAAAGCTCCTGTCTGTATTTTTAATTGTTTGTGGTCTATAGCATTAGAAAAATGGTTACTATCTAAAAGACATTTGATAGTTATATGTTAAGTGGACAAGTGAAAACATAAATAGAAATGTTTTCTTTGTAAATTCTGTTGAAAAAGCACAGAAATGAAATGGAGACAGCTCTATTATGAGCACCTTAAAGATCAAAACTACATCTATTCCATCTTTGTCTCCTGCAACTTATAAAACCTAACTTACAAAAGCTCTTTGATAAATAGATGACTAAATTAAAGGTGTCCTCATACAGTTTGGACAATATAATGTATTAGGTGTCCACAACCAGGTAGCATACTAACATTTTTGTTAGTGTGAAACGTTTTTCTGCTTTTATTATAATCTGCTGAGCCTAGAGTTGGGCAATTTGTATATTTATTATGACAATCTTTTGGCAAATGGTAGCAGAGCATCTTGTTCTAACAAAATTACTGTTATGATGACAATTAACCAGCAGGTAGAAGAACACATCTTGTTCCAACAAAGTAAATATATCTCTTTCCAACTTCAAATGAGGAGGAATGAAGTCAGTAATAGTGAGAACTTATTGGGACAAGCATATGTAACATGACTTGTGCTTCAGTGTTCTTTTGTGATCAAAAATTCCTTACTTTTACTTTTTTATCTATGGTAGGACCACGCAGAGCAGGGGTCCTCAACTCCCAGGCCACAGACTCATACCAGTCCATGGACTATTATGAACCACACCACACAGGAGGAGGTGAGCAGCAGGCAAGCCAGGGAAGCTTCATCTGTATTTACAGCCACTCCTTATGGCTCATATTACAGCCTCTACTCTGCCTCCAGTCAGATCAGTGATAGCATTAGATACTCATTGGAGCATGAACCCTGTTGTGAACTGCCCATCTGAGGGATCTAGGTTGTGTGCTTCGTATGAGAATCTAATGCCTGATGATCTGTCACTGTCTCACTTTGCCCCCAGATGAGACCATCCAGTTGCAGAAAAATAAGTTCAGAGCTTCCACGGATTCTACATTATGGTAAGTTGTATAATTATTTCATTATATATTACAATGTGATAATAATATAAAGTAGCACAATAAATGTAACATGATTGAATAATCCTGAAACCATCCCCACCCTCCCCCAGCCCATGGAAAAATTGTCTTCCACAAAACCGGTCCCTGGTGTCAAAAAGATTGGGGACAACTGACTAAAGTAATTCACTATCACAAGTCTTACCTGGATTGCTGTTTTCAGAAGAGATTTTTAGCATCTGTTTTTCTTTGTAGTCAGAAAGTAACTGGCAAATTCTATGTATAAAAATGTAATAAACCAAATTACTATTTTAATACTGATATAAAAAAACTTACCAAATGTAGAATTATTAAGAGTATTTCAAACAATATCAGAATAACAGAACTTAATAGTATTATCCCACCCACTTGTGAGTACATTCTACAAACTTCTCTTTAAGCTTCTAATTAAAGAAGAAAAAAATGTAAGGTGAAATAGTCATAAATCGAGGGCACTGTGACCCAGTAAATTAGCTAGCATTAGCATGACATAATAGAAAGTGTCCCAACTCTGCATAAGTCCTAGCTCCATAATGAACAGCTATTTGTTCTTGGACAACTTGCTTCTCTTAGGCTCAATGTCTTCTTCAACAAAGTGAGGACTTTGCTGCCTTATTTCACTAGGTTGTTATAAAGATTTAACGAGATAACATTTTTTAAATGCTCAGAGAAATAGTAAAGCAATGGAATAATCTGTTCCTAAACTTTATGACTAAAATTATCTTGGAATCCCAAATAAAACCCAATGCGTATTTTGTTCATAGGTTCTAATATGCAAATGTTGTAGTTTTCAGAAAATGTTATTAAGTCCTAATTTTGCTTCTTAGTTGTCCTACTCTTTATGGCTTATAATTCAGGGCATCTCAACTATGTCATAGTTTATAACTAAATTTATTCATAAATATCTCATTAAAGTAGATAATGTGATTGTCCACTATTACGGAGTTGATCAATCACACCAAGGGCAGAAAAACCAATGGATGTTAAGACCTGACTTGGACCAACGATCCTTCTCTACCGACTCAAACTCTCAGCCAGTAGATGTCTGTTAGGATAATGCTTTATATTGATGTTCAATTCCAGCTGACATGGGAGACCAAAAGTCTACTTTCATTTTTTTTTTAGTTTCCACGGAGAAGTAGCAAGCTGACATTCTGTAATTTTCGACATACATACTAACAATATATTTTGCACCGAACATGTTATTCAGCTCAAAGTCATCTCATAGACCATCTTACATGACTATTTTTGCAGCACAAATCACAATTTCAATATTTGGGTGGCACCCATTTTGCTTTGATTCACACTATTTCCTCAGAGCTAGTCAGCAAAAATAGTCAAATGACCTTCCAGTGACTGCACAAAATATGGAATGCTTCAAAGATCTGTGCTGCCTCCTTATGCAGAAGCCACGCTAACTTTCCCCGTATTGTTCCAATTTTAGGATATGTGCCGCCGAAGCAAGCACAAAGCCCTACTTTTACACATGATTAGTGATGCGTCATGGACAAGGCTTGGCTCTGTGAAGTCCAACTAACCTACTTGAGATTCTGAGAATTCTCTTCAATGGCTTCCTGTGAGCTAGAGTTTGAAAATATCTTAAAATCTTGAGCTAGAGATGGAAGTAGCTCCGACAATTTTCATTATCATGTAAATCAGATCACTCAAGGGGCCAACCACAGCTGGGAGCCACTGCTCAGGGCAAGGTTCATACGGGACTTTCTACTGCCCAAGGTTCTATACAGGATATAAAGGTGCCTCACAGTACAGATCTGGTAGCAAAGAGGAAACAAACACTGACCTCCTTCTGCCACATTATTTGAACCCCTCTCACCCTTTAGAACAAGCCCACCTAACATCTGCCAGAGAAAAGACCAACAACAGCCTCAAAGGATCTCTTACCATGAAGGTCTCAGCTAATTCCTGGCTAAGATGTGGGTTCCACATTAGGTTCTGAATATGCGGGGAAGGGTCAATTTGGTCACTTTGTGTGCGGATAAAGTCAGGATGCCCAGCGGCCAGAGCAGGGGGCTGGTGCTCTGGGAACAATGGCTGAGCATATAAGCATAGGTATGGGAATTAAAAAACATCAAAGTCACTGTATGAATCGCCATGAAGACTTGAGGGATCTGAATCTACTGATTCATCTTAAGGCAGCAGGACCAGTTTGAGTGGCCACAAAGCAGCAACAGAATCAACGGAAACAACAGAATGATTGCAATGTCTTTTTTCCTCCTCCTTCTGACTTGATAAAAGGGACTGTCTTCCTTGGATTTAGTGAACTCCTTCGGTTCTTGAAAAATTCAAGGAGTATGTAGGACATAGTCCCCAGAAGACAGTACAAGACTTTCCGCTAAACTGGACATTTCAAGACCCAAATAACTAATCAGAAAAATTAAAGATGTGACACTATTTTTTATCCCTGCATAGGTGTTACACTTGGATCAAATGAACAATGCTGGGATCTCTAAGGATAAAGATCTTAAAAGTCCTGAGATAAAGAATCCCGCACCCATTGGTACTTCTAACTTGTCTTGCTTTTTGTCTGATTTCTGGCTGATGCAGGGGACTAAAACTCACTGCCACGCGAAAACTACCTGAACCAAACTATGACATCTCACCTGATATGTGAGATGCAACTGTTATAATTATTTTAAACCTCAATTCAGCATTAACTAGCCTTTTAATGTAAACACTTACACATGATGATGACTAGAAACAGCATACTCTCTGGCCGTCTGTCCAGATAGATCTTGAGAAGATACATCAATATTTTGCTCAAGTAGAAGGCTGACTATACTTGCTGATCCACAACATACAGCAAGTATGAGAGCAGTCCTAAAATGACAGAGATAGGAACTGTAATAAAGTTATTTTTAAAGCTAATTTGATATACTTTACCAATGTAACATCTTGCCTGTCTGTGCAGAATCAAACATTTACATGCACTAAAAGACATAAGCATCCTGAGTGCTCAAGTGTTCATCTTTGTAAAATGCCACCAAGGTTAAAAGGAAGGGACCAAAAAAAACCCTCTTATCTCAGTGGGGTATTGCATAGCAGAAGCTACTAATTTAAAGTCCTTTGATGGGCAAGAAACAATGTTAGGGCCACTTATCTGAGGTGGACAAAGATTTAAGTGAAGATTTTGTCACAGCTTCCCTAGACTGACATGCTGTAATAGAAAATCAGCTAGGGGGTAAGAGAAATAAGAGCTCTCTGCATGCTCAAAGCAGTAATAATAATGGTAAGAATAGTAGTCATAGGAGTTTCAGTTAATGGTGCCAATAACCATGTGCTAGGCACTGAATTAAATGCCACATATATCTTTCTTACTTATGCACAGCCAACTTTGAAGGATATATTCTCCTACTTTTCATATATGACAACATATTTGGTGGTAAATAACGTCCCCAAGGTCACACACCTAGCAAGTAAGAAAGTTACTAATTAAACCCAGTCTTGTGTGAATCCAAAGCCTAGCTCTTTTCTCTTTATCACCCACGTACGGCTTGTCTTCATTAAAGGAAAAGTGTATCCACTTAAAACTATCTTCACTCCCTCTCTCCATACCAATTAAAAATAAAAACATCAAAATACACTGGAAAAACAAAAGGAAAAAAGCTGTTGAACCCACAGTATGTGGGAACAGCAATTAATTGTTATGTAGGGATAAGCTAACACTAATATTCTTCAAAGAAAGCAACTTAAAGCAAAGTCATTAAAAAGACAAAAGGATTTTCAACCCCTATTTATGTTTAATACAGCATATTTAATGGAAAAGCATGTAAGACACAGGTTAAAAACTATTAGAAAGGGTTAAGAAGTTCAATACTGAGTCATAAAGTAAACTAAAAGTTAAAGTTCAAACTTCATAAAATTAATATGAAATCCTTTAAGCTAACATAAGATCATGTAACCAAAAATGTCACATAACAAATAACATCAGTCAATATAATAAGAGAAGATGAATCCTACTAAAACTGTTCTTTATGTTGCCCAGCCCAAATAATTGTTTTTCTACCTAACTGATTTGTGTTGATACTGATCACTACATCCCAGTAAGTATACATTAATCTTATTAATTTAATATTTATGACTTGAGTGACTGCTGTCCATCTACAACACACAGATTAAAAGAAAGAACTATACCTTCCATATCTATCCAGTGCATTTAAATTCGCTTTTTTCTTGATTAAAAATTTCACGACTTGCTGTTTTTGCTCATGTACACCAAGTAACAGTGGTGTGAGGCCATGCTGTAAAACAATATAAAGCAAAAACCTATGTAATTCAAAAAAGTACATATTCCTCAACCAAAGTGGAAACTTTATATAAGATCTTATGGACTTACACGCATAGAAGTAAATAAAATGTAGTCACTTCCTTCTCACTCTTCTGTGCTTTCCCACACGCTGCTCCTTTCCTTGGAAACACCCCTTCTCTGCCTCACCACAGTAACTCTAATCATCTCAAAAACTCACTTTAAACATTTACTGCTTCCAAGGCTCTTTGCTTCTAAACCAGCATTTGGCATGGTGTTATTGGATGATAATATTTTTCCCATCTAAACAAAAAGCTTCTTGAGGGCAGGGGCTGTATCTTTTGTCTCTATATCCTCAACCCTAAGACAAATTGTGTATAAAGCAAGAATCTGCATGTAAAATATTTCTTTAGTTTCATGTTTTACCAAAAGTTCAACCTCCAACATGCAACAAAAATTGCTATTAAAACTCATACTGCCCATTTGAAAAAATTTTCCAACATTTATTTATTTAAAATCTATTTGTATTTAATTTTCCCAGATTGTTAACTAAACCATCAGTTCATAGGACTACTGAAACTAAATTAACAGAATTCCTATCTGTATTCTTAATAACTCCATGGTTTTTAGTGTTTAAAACTGCCATGCTGATTATGCCAAAGCTCTACATACTTAAGAGACACACTGGATAGTCCATAATACAGCGTCAATTGACAAAAAATGGTTTAGAATTTGCTACTATTCTAATTGAGAAAACTCTGCTCTTAACGACTTACTGACCTAAGTACTTGAATGACTGAACAAAGAGACACAAAATCCTGAGAGGGCCATCCTCTACTTATTGAAAGACTACTCACAGCAAATTTCTAAAGACCTTCTGAACGGCAGTGAATAACTGATGGTAGGAAGGAAAAGGTATTATTCTGTAAGCTGATACATACTACCAATAATATTCATTTTAATGTCTCAGTCACAGAGATAAAAGTCAGACTAGGTCAGGAATGGTGGCTCACACCTGTAATCCTAGCATTTGGGGAGGCTGAGGTGGGTGAATCGCTTGAGCCCAGGAGTTCAAGACCAGCCTGAGAAACATGGCAAAAACCTCATCTCTACTGAAAAAAAAAAAAAAAAAACTGAGGTTGGAGGACCATCTGAGCTTGGAGAGGTCGAGGCTGCAGTGAGCTGTGATCACACCACTGCATTCCAGCCTGGGAAACAGAGTGAGACCCCATCTCAAAAAAAAAAAAAAAGTCAGATTAATGTTATTGGAAAGATTTAAAGAAATCAGCACATATCCAACCCCAACTCTTCTAGAGATACCTTAAGTTTCTGAGACATAAGAATTTACATATTACATTTATGTATTGAGTGGTTCTTAAGCAGGAGTGTATCCAGATTTTGAGAAAATTGTTGTTGTTGTCGTTGTTGTTGTTAGAGACAGGGTCTCATTATGTTGACCAGGCTAGACTCGAACTCCTGAGCTCAAGCAATCCTCCCACCTCAGCCTCCCTAGCAGCTGGGACTACAGCCATGTACCACCATGCCTGGCTTCAAGGAAACATTTTCAAATATACATATCCAGGCTTTATTAGACTTACTGTATCAAAATATTCAGAAAAAGCCTAGACTTGTTATTTAAACATTTTCCTCAGGTTACTGGGATGCACAATTCTAGCTGAAAGCTAGTGCAACAGACAATTACTTCAGTCTCATTTCTCACCCACATGACCAATTCCCTTTCTCATTTGAAGATTTGGCCAAAAAGAGTAAGGAGTAGGAGAGAGACCCATTTGCTGAAAACACCACATGATTTTCCCCGGTAAGAGAAGAACAGGGTCTAGTCAACTCAAAATCCAACTTGATCTTGTTACTTGTTTATCTTCCACCTTCCCATCCAGACACTCTAGATTTGAAAGCAGAGCTGAGACTCTCATTGGCCATTTCTACCAGAATAGGATACTAAGTCAGTTAATTACTTGATATTCCCTCTGCTCAAGGGTTTCCTCTTACATTACCACCTATTCACTGCCAATCTGGTTCCTCAGAGGCCTCCTAAAATTGATCTCTAGGTAGTTTACAACCCACTAACTCCCTCTCCCAAACTGAAAACTGTCATTCTCTAAAATTGAAGAGAACCTTGTCTCACCATGCAAAGGAAACAAATCAGTCAACAACAACAACAACACACACACACACAACCTCTTCATGGTCTTTTCCCTCCATTATCTAATTTCCAAATTGGCCTTGATATTTCTGATTGCTCTCTTTTTTGCTTTCCACTTCTGGCTCATGAGCAATCAGAAATATCTTAAGCCTTGCCAGTGAGAGGCGCATCACCTCGTATCTATTACTGTTTTTTAGGAACTTGCCAAAGGAGCAGGATCTCTATTCACTGAAACATGTTTAACTTTTCTTGGAGTTTTCATGTAAAACCTATTTCAGGGCAAATTTTGCCATTTTACATTCAATAGGGAAAAAACATCCTAGGAGGGAAAAATTGAAAAATAGTAAGTATTATCTTTTACAAATTCAGTGTTTTCAAAAAAAGTATTTACCACAAGTGCATTAAAAAAAAAAACTGTACCCTCTAATGCTTCTTTGAAAGTAACAATATTTAAAATGAAGTCTTAGATAATTAGGTCATTTCAAAATATTTCCATTCAGGTTATGCTTGAGCTTCCAAATATGGAAGACTGGCCCTTACACAGGTCAATGTTAAAATGAATGCATTTCAGTATTTTGAAGATAAAATTGGTAGATCTATACCTTGTTTTTTGATTCGATATCAGCACCATATAAGAGCAGTGCTTTGGCCATTAATTTATCTTCATTATAGATAGCGTAGTGCAGAGTGGTATTTCCATACTCATCTGGAATATTTGGATCAGTGCCATGTTCCAGCAACATTAACGCACATTCATCTTCCTGGCATTGTACGGCCTGTCAGTATTAGACCAAAAACAAATTACATATCTTAGGAATTCAAAATAACATTCCACAGCTTTCACCAACTAGTTATATTTAAAGGAGAAAACTCATTTTTATGCCATGTATTGAAATCAAACCCACCTCATGCTGATATAGTTGGCTACTGCATACCTTTATCAGAGCTGTCCTCTTTTTGTTGTCAAGGACATTAAGTTGACATCGTCTGTCCAGCAGGAGTTTTACTACTTCTGAATTCCCATTGGCAGAGGCCAGATGTAGAGCAGTCCTATGAGAGTGAGAAGACTTTTTAGGAAATTGTAGTGCACTAGCTACAGCCATAGCAATGATTCATGTAACTGCAAACACTGAATAGCCTGCTATTACTCTGCCTTCAAAACAAACATTTAACTTTCCCATGAAAAAAGCACACTATTTATTATCTCTCATTGCTCGCTGTATTAATGAAAGGGCAGCCTATATGAATATAAAGAGCATAGCCCTTGGATGACATTCAACGTGGGCTGGAATCCTACTTGAAGCTCTGTCACTTCCTGGCTGTTGCTTAGCCTTTTGGGGTCTCAGTTTCCTCATCAATAAAATAGGAATGAAAATAGTAGCTTTCTCACAGGAAACCACTCTAATGCTTAAATGAGACTCTGCACAAAAGATATAGAATAGTTCCTAACACAAATAACAGCTCAATAATTGTTAGATATTTTAATTTTTACTAATACCACTAAAGACAACATTTGAATTGAGATGATACAATTATACCTACACTTTCAGGTGTGTTTTAAATATTACAGCTAACATTGTATTTTAGTGATTCTGAGATGATCATTGTCTCCATGTTGTCTCCACTGAAATACCACTTACAATTCATGATTTACTATAATTGGCGGCATTTAAATAATTCTCTTATTGAGGCATAAAATAATGGGGCATCACACAATCCCTGGTGTCTTACATGAAGTAGAATATGTTATAACAGGTCCGGGGCGGTTCCAGTCAGATGACCAGCATTTAGATAAATTTTGGTTCTTAAAAGAACTATGGAATAAGAAAGCTGAGGTGAAAACAAAAACAAATTTCTAAAATAAACCAATTCTTACTTTGGTTTTCAATAAACTTTAAGCCAAAGAAAACCTGGAATTCAAATGAATAGCATGGGCTCATTTTTGTCAATACTTAGATTTATACAATGTATGTACATCAGATATTTCCAATCATTCATATTAGGATTTAAGACTGTTATAAATTTTCTCCTTTTAAAACGGATTTATGAAACGATTTGTGGAGCTTTTTTCAACTGTTACATTCAGGGGTACACGTGCCAGATGTGCAGGTTTGTTACACAGGTAAACACGTGCACCAAGGGGGTTGGTTGTACAGATTATTTCATTACTCAGGTGTTAAGCCCAGTACCCGTTCATTCTATTTCCTGCTTCCTTCCCTCCTCCCACCCTTCACCCTGTAATAGGCCCCAGTGTGTGTTGCTTCCCTCTAGGTATCTGTGTGTTCTCACCATTTAGCTCCCACCTATAAGTAAGAACATGCAGTATTTGGTTTTCTCTTCCTTTGTTAGTTTGCTAAGGATAATGGCTTTCAACACCATCCATGTCCCTGCAAAGGACATGCTCTCGTTCCTTCTTTTATGGCTGCATAGTATTCCATGCTGTTTATGTACCACATTTTAGTTCTTAAAACAACTAAAACAGTCTTTCTCCAAGACTTATAAATTTTCAAAAGGGCAGTTAAGGGTTGTCTTTTACTATTTTCTACCTTCAGAAATGCTTCTGTTTGAAAGGAGGGAGGAAAAGCTTCAATTGAGATTAAGTCCTAATGCACCAATTTTAAATCTCTCAGCTTGCTCAAGCCCAGCAGATAAACATGAAGTTTTCAAAGGTGGAAGGATCCTGAGAGACAGTAGAATATGCCTGCCACATAATAGGTGTCTGGCTTATGTCTGATGACTAAATGGATTGAAAGAATGGATGAACACAGCTTGGGAGTTCAATATTTTCAAAGAAAACTCCTGTCGAGTAATGCAATACATTTGCAATAGTAATAATCACTTATATTTGCTATTTTAATTTTCATAAACATATAACTCAACTAAAATGATTAATTCATACTTTTTACATGTTAATCTATATCTAATGAAAAGATAATTATGTAATAAAATGTATATACAATAAAATCTACAGGAACAGGTAAACACAATCCCTCTACTTCTGAAGAGGGTAAAAGTTCACGGAAGATAGCCAACCACAGATAGAAAAATAAATAATAGAATGTGACAAATTATTTGCATCTATGCAAGAAGCATATTCCTTCTCTTCCCAAGGATTATTGCATTACTAATGAACTTTAACTAAAACTTCAGATGTTCATTGCAGAAATCACAGATAAGAGAAAGGGAAAAACTTCACTTACAAATCCCCAGAAACAAGTTTGATTATATTTTCTACATGTTTTCAGCTAACACGAGCAGATTCTGTTCGTGTATATGTGTAACCGATTTTTTTTCTCACTTGTTATAGCAAAGTACATCTTTGCATGTCGACATATCTCTGTATCTACTGACAACCTCAATAGTTACATATTAGTCCATCCTATGGATGCACTGAAATTTGTCCATGAAATCTTTATATGGGTTCTTCTAAATACACTGCTATTTTAATCAATACTAAGAAAAACAGACCTCTATTTGGTAAAGATATTTCAGTATAATGGAATTGATGAGTAAAAAGCATAACATTTTAAAAATGTGGTTCTTACCACTAAAGTGTTTGTTTGAAAAGCTGTAGCAATTTAAACTTTAAATGACTACGTAAGTACCACTGTTCTTCATCCTCACAAACTTTGTGGATAAAAAACAGTATTTCATTCCTTTTTTTTTTTTGAGATGGAGTCTCACTCTATCACCCAGGCTGGAATGTAGTGGCGCGATCTCGGCTCACTGCAACCTCCACCTCCCTGGTTCAAGCAATTCTCTTGCTTCAGCCTTCTAAGTAGCTGGGATTACAGGTGCGTGCCACCATGCCCAGCTAATTTTTTGTATTTTTAGTAGAGATGGGATTTCACCACACTGGCCAGGCTGGTCTCAAACTCCTGACTTCATGATCCACCTGCCTCAGCCTCCTAAAGTGCTGGGGTAACAGGCGTAAGCCACTGTACCCGGCCTTTCATTCCTCTTCTAACTTAAATAGAAAACAGTATTTCATTCCTCTTCTAACTTACATTCCTTCTTCTACCAGGAACGCTATCTTTTCCTATGTGCATAGGTCACTGGTAGATATGCAAAAAAAGTACTTTGCCCAATTTTAAAATGAGCTTATTTTATTATGTCTGCAAATATGGCCAGGCACAGTGGCTCACGCCTGTAAGCACTTGGGGAGGCCAAGGTGGGTGGATCACGAGGGCAGGAGTTCAAGACCTGCCTGGCCAAGATGGTGAAACCCCATCTCTACTAAAAATACAAAGCAATTAGCCAGGCGTGGTGGCAGGCGCCTGTAATCCCAGCTACTCAGTAGGCTGAAGCAGAGAATTGCTTGAACCTAGGAGGCAGAGGTTGCAGTGAGCCGAGATCGCACTACTGCACTCCAGCCGGGGCAGCAGAGTCAGACTCCATCCAAAAAAAAGTATATATATAAATATATATCTGCATATATAAATAGGCATTTGTATGTTTCTCTTCTGGTATGTTTCTCTTTTTTTATATTTAAATTTTTTAATCTATACTCTTATTTTTGTGACATAAAAATCTAGCTAGTTTTCTCCAAACATGAATTATGAACAATCCATCTTTTTCAAATAATAAAAAACACCACCATTATCAAGCGCTAAATTCTTAACATATATTTGGGTATTTCTAAATTTCCTATTCTGTTGTATTCATTGATGTCTTTTCAGCTGTTAGTAAACAATTTGTGGAAATAAATAACATGCACATTTTGATATCTGGAAAAACAGCCTTTTTCCATTCTGTTACAAAAAATTAATTTATCACAATAATAAAAGACAGCATGTGTAATTTAAAAACGCTAAAACTTTGCTATTTTTATTTGGCTTAGGTAAAAGTGATAAATAGAAAAAGCTCCCATCTTTTTTTTTTTTTTTTGAAACGGAGTCTCGCTCTGTTGCCCAGGCTGGAGTGCAGTGGCACTATCTCGGCTCACTGCAAGCTCCACCTCCCGGGTTCACGCCATTCTCCTGCCTCAGCCTCCTGAGTAGCTGGGACTACAGGCGTCTACCACCGCACCCGGCTAATTTTTTTTATATTTTTTAGTAGAGACGGGGTTTCACCGTGTTAGCCAGGATGGTCTCAATCTCCTGACCTCATGATCCGCCCGCCTCCCAAAGTGCTGGGATTACAGGCGTGAGCCACCGCGCCCAGCCAAAAAGCTCACATCTTAAGAAAATTCAATCTTCCTGTTCAAGCACAGGAACCATCTTCCCATTTCAGTTTCCTTCTAAGGTTCCTCAGTAAAGAACATATTTACATACTGTACATTGATATAAAATCCATACTGGATTTTATTTGAAGAATATTTAGCCCTGAAGTTGATGTGTTATGGGGCTTCGTTCTTAGTTCTCAATATACACTTTTCTATAATGTATAGAACATTGTTTTAAAATCTGTAGATTAAAAATAATCTGCTGCATTGACTTAATTAATTTTGCAAGTTAAATCACTTTAAAACAGTCTATTAGTGTTCTATGAGGGAAATTATGATTGGAAATCAGCTAAAGTTTTGTTTTTGTGTTGCTGTTCATAAAGGGCCCTGTACCCTGACCTCTCTGAGGTTTCCACATCCAGGGTGGTGTGAGGCCTGCGGAGGCGAGAAAGCCAGGTCCCCCTCCTCCCCCGCCAGGAGGGTATGTCCCCATCATCCCCCCACGTCCCACCTCCTCCCAGCCCAGGCCTGGTTACCTCTTTTGCTTGTCCTTCTTGTTCACGTCAGTGTCCCTGAGCATGACGATGAGATCCTTTCTGGGGACTTTACCCCACCAGGCAGCTCTGTGGAGCTTGTCCAGATCTTCTCCACGGACGTGGTACCTGGGCTCCATGAAGGCACTGTCATCGTAGTCTCCCCAAGCGCCCACCTTGCTCTTGCCGCTCCCCCTGCAGCAGGGGAAGCAGTGGCAGCACCACTTGCCCATCTTGTTCCTGAGTGTCTTCATAGCAGAGTCGTCGTGGTCTCCAGAAGCGCCCACGTTGCTCTTGCCACTCCCCCTGCAGCAGGGGAAGCAGTGGCGGCACCACTTGCCCATCTTGCTCCTGAGTGTCTTCATAGCAGAGTCGTCGTGGTCTCCAGAAGTGCCCACGTTGCTCTTGCCGCTCTCCCTGCAGCAGGGGAAGCAACGGCAGCACCACTTGCCCATCTTGCTCCTGAGACCAAATGGCTTCTTCACAGAAGAGGCAGCCGGCATGGAATCAACCTCAACCACCATCTGCTTTTAACAGCCAGGAGAAGCCAGTAGTAGCCAACAGATCGCGTCTACCAACCAGTTTCACCAACTAGCAGGTAACTCCGGGTTTCCAATCTGTTTGAAGAGAAAAGTCAATCCCAGCCAAAACCTGCCAACCCCAGCAGGGGATTCCAGCCCAGCCCACCCCACCCAGGGAAAACCCACACCCACCCGAGGAAAGCCCACGCCCCCCCTGGGCGACCCCACGCCCACCCCAGAAAGGGCCAACCCCCGCCCCCAAGAAAACACCCAGCCCACCCAAGGGAATGCCAAACCCAGCAGAGAAAAGGTCAAGCCCAGCAAAGGAACACGAGAGAGAAAACGTCAATCCAAGCAGGAAACGTCAATCCAAGCTACCAACGCCAAGCCAAGCCAAGAACGCAAAGCCAAGCCAAGCCGCTACAGGCCAGCCAAGCCGTTAAAGCGCGTGCAGCATGCGCGTGCAAGCCATTACAGGCCAGCCAAGCCGTTACGCGCGTGCGGCGTGCGCGTGCAAGCCGTTACAGGCCGGCCAAACCGTTATGCGCGTGCGTCGTGCGCGTGCAAGCCGTTACAAGCCAGCCAAGCTGCTGCCGGGCGTGCGCGCGAGGCGTGCGCGTGCGCGTGCGGCGTGCTTATCTCAGGTGGCGTCAGGGCACGTGGCACAGACACTGGCCGATGCATGCAACGCGCCTGCTTAAGTCTTGGCGCCACGAATGTCACTGACAGCCTTGAGTTCCGGCAAACTTCGTGGGAGTCAGCTGAGCTTTCAAGCCACTGAGAAGCCTCTGGTGAAAAAAAAAAAGCCTCTTAAAGGAGGACTGGGGCTAAGCGTCTGGAACTTGAGGATGCTGACAGCCTCCTTTGAAAAAAGCCCCCAGGACACTCCTGGCGGTGCTGTTGTGCATGGCAGCAGCTGCAGCTGGGAGCTCGGGCTGACGGAGCTGGCTGCAAATGGCCTCAAAATCGCGGAGCACAAGACGCCCACCGAGCCCAGGGCCTGCCTGAGGTGCCTTCAACACCTGCTCCTCTTTGCTCCGCACCCAGAACACGAGGCCATCAGCAAGGGGGCATTTGGGGCCACAGGATTGCAGCCAGCTCCTGCCCCGGTGCAGTGTATACAGTGTATACTGCACAGGTGTTGGGTGCACCAAAATCTCCTGAATCACCTCTAAAGAACTTACTCATATAATCAAACACCACCTTTTCCCCAAAACCCTAGGAAATAAAATGAAGAACTTTTTGTTTATGCATACCACATATTTTTTAACTTTTTTCACAGGTTCATTGAGATACAATTTATATATTATTTAATTCACTCATTTAAAGTATAAAATTCAGTTTTTTAAGTGTATTAACTAGTTAAACAATCACCACGATTTTAGAACATTTTTATGCTCCTTAAAAGAAACTTTGCACCCATTAGCAATCTTTCCCTATTTTCCCCATTCTTCCTTTAAACCTCTCCCAGCCCTAGGCAATCATCCATCTATTACCTAAGAATTTGCCTATTCTGGAAGGATTTGCCTATTCTGGACATTTCATGTAAGTGGAATCATAATAATATAGTTACGTGTGACTTACTACTTTCATTTATCATGTTTTCAATGTTCATCCTTTTTGGAGCATGTATTAATATGTTTTTCTTTTTCATTGCCAAGTAATATTTTATTTTATGGACAGACCACATTTTATTAATCCACTTCAAAATTCATGGACATTTCTGTTGTTTCCTACTTTTTGTTGCTATAAATACTTTTATGTGTAAGGCATTTGTTTTAATTTATTTTTGGTGTATACATAGGAGTGAATTTACTGAGTCATGTGGTAATTCTGTATTTAACCTTTGAAGAACGGCTTCATTTTTCTGCATGTGGCTTGCCAATTATACCAGCAGCATATGTTGAATAGGGTGTCCTTTCCCATTTTCTTGTTTGCTTTGTCAAAGATTAGGTAGTCTGATGCCTCCAGGTTTGTTCTTTTTGCTAAAGATTGCTTTGGTTTTTCAGCATCTTTTGTGGTTCCATTCAGATTTTAGGACTAATTTTTCTATTTCTGTGAAGAATGACATTGGAATTTGACAGCGGTTGCATTTAATCTGTAGAATGCTTTGAGTAGCATTGAAATTTTGACAATATTAATTTTTTCAATTGATATAGGACTTTTTCTATTTGTCACTTTCAATTTCTTTCATCAATGTGCTATAATTTTCAGTATACAAATCGTTCACATCCTTCATTAAAATTACTCCTTGCTCTTTGATTTACTTATATATTTGTTTTGTTGCTATTATAAATGGAATTACCTTATTTTTCAGATAACAGTTTGTCATTGGTGTATAGAAGCCAATGTTAATTTTGTAACTCTCAACTTTATTGAATATAGTGTTTATCAGCTGTAATGGGTTTTTTGTGGAGTCTAAAACACAGACAATCTCACCCCTTCCCTTCCTATTTAGATGCCTTTCCTTTCTTTGCCTTGTATAATTACTCTGGCAAGTCAGTTACATATAACGTTCTCAGCATTTGTAATTTGACATCAAATCCATCTGTTGTAATACACTGATTGTTACTTTTCAACTCGAAAACATGGACATTTATCACTACTCTCCCTTTCTCTTGGTCTAGTTGTTATTTAAAAAAAAACCTATCAATACAAACCAGGATATTTTTCTACAAAACAATTTCAAACACACTAAAAGGTTTTAATCTAACAATTTTTAAACTTTCTTTGTCAATGACTTTGAACTGTGGTCTCTCGGAACAAATCCAACACCTTTAGTAGAAAAATTATGTTAATTCCTACATTATCATTGGGTCTAGCCAAGAGTTGACCAAAGGTGATATTAACAGATATGCTTATTTATTACCTTGTTCTCAAAGTTCTAGCATAAGTCTTGAAAAATCTAGTAAAAATTTGTAAAGACTATAATTGCACAAACTCCCTCTCTCATGAGTCACACAGTTAATCCAGAATACTATTTCTAAGTTATTGGAAAGCCAACAAGTAAATATGATGTAGTGTATAAAAATAATCCTAATTTCATTGTATATTCTGTAAGTGACATATGCAATTGATACTATTTACTAAATATCTCATAATTATATTTATTTACATAGAAAAAAGGAATAAAAAACATATCTATTATCTAACATTTAAATGATTAAAAATACTTGAGATAGCATTGCTACATAAATGCTATGTAAATGCTGAAGAAAGTAAAAATGTCATTCCCTACATTTGCTAAATATATTGTGACACATTATAAGCATTTTTAAAATATATCACTAATGGTTGGGTCAAGTCAGCAAAAATGATTCTAAGTATTTAATTGTGGAAAAATTTAGTACAGGGGATAGTATTCATGTGATGGAAGGATTTTAAATGGAACCCAGAGATTAGCAGCAGCAGTAAGTTTTAATTGCATACCAGGTGCAGAGTCTAGGATACAAGACAGAACTGCAGATAAAATCTGACTCCTTCCAGCATAGCTAGGAGACATGGCTAACTCCACCTGTCCGGAGACCTTACCTAGAAATCTAACGGCTCCAAACCAGGTAAACAAAACTATTTTCCAAAGTCAAAGCATCAATTTATGACATTAAAGCACTTCTAAAACTTAACCTCTGACTTAAATTAGACCAAATGGATAAATTTTGAAGATATTTTTATTTTACCACTGACTTTAACACCATCTTTATTTCCCAAAGATTACTGAAGTCACATGAAATAAAAGGCATTAGAGCTTCTATTTTTCTTACAAAATATTTAAGAGCTTTCATTTTCTTTTAAGCCGAGCCATTATATATACATCACATACACAACACTTCTAGACAAGAAAAGATCTAGCAGTTGTTCAGTTTTTCTTTCCCACTTTATGAATCATAACACAACTTCCACAGACTATCTACGACATGATTAAATTTATCTGACCTGTCCTGTATTTCCCTCTTTTGTAATTAGTCATTCTACTTTAGGACAACAATTTGCCATATAAGATCCTCTCTCATATAACATTTCTTTCCTTCATAACATTTCTTACAATAAATACATCTTCATATCCACAATTTTCTTTAGATCTCTCTCCCCTACTAATTTCTGATGCCCATCCAAACCAAAAAGGTCAGACAACGCAAGGCAAAACAGAGGAGAGCCTTAGATTTTTGAGAGGGACCTGTCTGCTTAAAGTTCTTGGGGTTCCATGAGGAAAACAGAGGTTTCTCCTAAAATGGGGTTTGTGGAACCTTCTGTTTTTCCTTAAGGAGTCCCAGGTTGTCAGAAATTACCTTAGATCCTCTCATGTGGGCATCAAGAGTGGCAACAAGAGAGACTGGGGTAATAATTCAGACAACTGAGCAGAAAAAGAAAAACTTACTACTGTCCCCACTGCAATGATGGATAAACTGAGGCACTATGCAGTTCAAAAATTCATGTTCACATAATTAGGATCCACAGCTCACTCTCTTAAATAATTTTGCCACCTCTATGCCCAGTCACTGATGCACCTGTATGGTAGCTCATGGCCCCCTTGGAACTTAGAACCTGGGTTTCATTCCTGCTCTATGGCTATATAATTCAACAATTTTCCTTTGAATTTGTTGGACTCTAACCCTGTATATCTCAAATTTTATTAGTATTACTGAATCTTAAAGGGAGCTGTGACGTCTTTAGTCTTTAGAAATATTAAACCTATAAACAAGGACTATATGAGGTTAAACAGTATTCAAATTTCTATATGCTTTAAAACATGGACACAATGTATTGAGAAACACACCTACAAAACTGCACCCCATCAACTCTGGACAAAAATTTAGATATTATCTCTTCAATATAACCTATCTAGTGGTATTTATACATATTCTTCCATGTATCAACGGTATATTACATGCTCATAACCTTAAAAATAACAAGTGTTCAAATTATAGGCCTTACACATTTCTACGGGCTTGAAAAATGATACAATATAGATTGTCTTTAAAGCAGTCAAGAAAATGCATAAACTTCTAGAGGAATCAGTAAAATAAAGATAAAAAGTTCACACCTAAAGTAGTAATACTAGGAATAAAAGAGGGCTCGACACTGCAGGTTCTTAGATACAAAAGTTAATAAAGCCTCGTTTTTGGTTGTGAATCTTTGCCTTAAAATACACACAGCTGACCGAGGTGGGTGGATCACCTGAGGTCAGGTGTTCTAGGCCAGCCTGGCCAACAGGGTGAAACCCCATCTCTACTAAAAATACAAAAAGTAGCCGGGCGTGGTGGCAGGCACCTATAATCCCAGCTACTCAGGGGGCCAAGGCAGGAGAACTGCTTTCACCCAGGAGGCAGGGGTTGCAGTGAGCCAAGATCGGGCCATCGTACTACAGCCTGGGGGACAAGAGCGAGACTTCATCTCAAAAAAAAAAAAAATTACACACAATTCTCCCGACTTCCTTTTTCTCTTGCAAAGAGGTGGTGATGAACCAGGTTTGCTCAGGCAGATGACAATACTCTTGAAAATGGTGGCAGAGAGCCAGGCGTGGTGGCTCACACCTCCAATCCCAGCACTTTGGGAAGCTGAGACAGGTGGATCACTTGAAGTCGGGAGTTCAAGACCAGCCTGACCAACATAGAGAAAACCCATCTCTATTAAAAACACAAAGTTAGCTGGGCATGGTGGCACATGCCTGCAATCCCAGTTACTCGGGAGGCTGAGGCAGGAGACTTGCTTGAACCCAGGAAGCGGAGGTTGCAGTGAGCCGAGATCGCCCCATTGCACTCCAGCCTGGGCAACAAGAGCAAAACTCCATCTCAAAAAAAAAAAAAAAAAAAGAAAGAAAACAAAGGAAATGGTGGCAGAGAAAATGAAGGCAATACAGTTCACTTAATAATCTCATAAATTAGAACTTACCCCGTGACTCCTGCATAGCTCCAAATATGTGAGAGAGATGAAATGGCTGTTTGCCACCAATATTTTTATGTGATGCTTCATTTTTTGATTCTCTGAATAACTACTTACAACGCATTAGCCCATTTATGCCAGAGGCTGCAATTTTTTGAATTTTTGCACGAGTGAAAAATCAAACCTTCTAATGACCTTGAGCAGTAGGATGTAATTAACTCCCTCATGCTTACCATTCCAATAATGGAACACTAGGCATAAGTGGTTTAACACAATCGTGAAAGCATAGCTATTCAAGTAACTAATTATACAACTGATTTTTTTCCTCATCCCTAAAACATAGTAAAGGACCAGTTATTTTAAAAATACAACACAGTGACAATTTTGGCTTGTTGTTTGTTAAGGCCATTGCTTGGCATAAAGAAAACAAAAAGAGGAGGAGAAACAAGAATAGAAACATGAAATAGAAGCAGCAGCAAAAGAAAATGAAGAGGAACAAGAAGATGAGAAGAATACACAGACTAGAATAAGCAAAAAGAACAGGTGCAGGAATTAGAAGGCCTATTATGACACCTTTTATCCCCTCCCCAATTCACAAAATTTGAAAAAGTCCAAGACCATCACAACAAAAAAGAAGGAAAAAATGGCCGGGAGTGGTGGCTCACGCCTATAATCCTAGCACTTTGGGAGGCCAAGGTGGGTGGATCATGAGGTCAGGTGATCTAGACCATCCTGGCTAACACTGTGAAACCCCATCTCTACTAAAAATACAAAAATAAAATTGGCTGGGCGTGGTGGCAGGCGCCTGTAGTCCCAGCTACTAGGGAGGCTGAGGCAGGAGGATGGTGTGAACCCAGGAAGTAGAGCTTGCAGTGAGCCGAGATCACACCACTGCACTCCAGCCTGGGCAAAAGAGCGAGACTCTGTCTCAAAAAAAAAAAAAAAAAAAAAAAAAAAAAGCCACACACACACACACACAGTCACCCCCTAAATTTTGTTAAGAATGAGACAATGCTGCCACTCATGCCTGGCTCAGAAGGAGGCCACCCTCCAGAGATTGCAAGAGAAGGGGGAGGACTCCTTTCCCTAAGTGCACCTCCACCACTGCCACCGAGGCCCATGGTACAGCACCAGCAGGTTCGTCCCCACCCCAGGTCGGACTGGGCCCTGCAGTGCTCCTACTCCCCCTTCCCAGTCCCCAGACTTTCTGCCACTACCACCACTAGCACCAATGCCAATACAATTGCTGTCGCCATCAATGCAGCAGCCCACCCTACAAGGTTCCTACCACCTTGCCCCCGCGGGCACCCTCCTACCACTCCTGTCGAGCTGCAGTCTCCGTGGCTGCCATCAGTCACACGAGGCGAGCTGCAGAGTCACGCCACATGCAGGCTCCAGCGTACCACAGGTGATTCCTTCTCCTCCTCCTCCAGCCTGGCTTGGAGCAGCTAGACGGGCAAAGCCAGAAAAGCCTAGAATGGGATGCAGGGAGTGGTAACGTTAGAGCCTCACCTTGTCATGCTGGCCACTGGGTGGCAGGGACCAGCTTCAGCTAAGGCACTCACACCCACCCACCGAAGTCCAGCCTCTCTTTCTGGCAAAAGGTGGCCAGGAACTGGGGCGGGTGTGAGTGCCTATGCTGAAACCACCCCCATCCAGGTGCAACTGGCCAGAAATTGCTGGGCCCACCAGGGCTGCACTCCTTGGGGAGCAGGAGTAGGAGAAACTCAGACCCAGCCAGCCCTCCCCACTCAACTGCTGGTTCCCATTCCTGACACCTCCACCCACAGTGCCCTGTTCCCACAGTCCCCCGCGATGCCCACTAATCCCCACCCGGTAGTCCCAGGTGGTCTCCCCAACACAGAGCATGGGGTGTGGGCGGGAGGTGCAGGCCGGAGAACCGCAGTGGGTGTGGGGGCCCTGCCCTGCTCAAGATTGCACCAGGAGGAACTCTGGAGTCTGGAAAAGAGAAGAGTCACCCGAAGGAGCAAGGAGACCATGGCTGTTGCTGTCCCCACCACCTCTGCAGCCGACCAACACCACTGGCAGTATAACCCCCATAGCAACCCTAACCTGACCCCTGCCGCCGGCAGTGTAGCCCCCGGACAGCACACCCAACACACCCTGTGCCAGCTGCAGGCAGTGTAACCCCAATACCCCCCCAACCACCCCCTCCACAGGCAGTGTAGCACCCGATAGTGCCCACAACCTGACCCAGCCACAGGTGTTGCTGCACAAGACAATGCCTCAAAATCGCCGCCCCCACCCCACCACAGGTAGCGCAGCTCCTGATAGCGCACCCTGAGTAAGGGCAGTGCAGCACCCGACAACACTCCTAAACCACCCCCCGCTGCCAGCATTGTAAGCTCCAAATAACCACCAAAACCACTCCCTGCCCCGGGCAGTGCAGCAGAAAATAGCGCCCCTAACCCCTCCCCCGCCACCGGCAGTACACGTTAGTGCACACAACCTGCCTCCCCCCCATCACCCCCGCCACCACGGGCAGTGTAGCCCCGGACAGCCAGCCAAAACCGCCCCCCTCCACCGCCAGCAATGCAACCTCGGAGAGTGCCCCCAACCAGCCCCCTGACACAGGCAGTGCAGCCTCGGGCAGTGAGCCCCAATAGGACACCCAACCCCTGCCCCCACAGGCGGGCAGTACATCCCCGGATAACTCACCTACACCAGGACATTTCTACCACTCTGGCCGAGCTGCAGTGTCCCACGTCACCACCAAACACAGCAAGGCGAGCCCCAGGGGCTCAGGCTCCAGCCTCCAGCATGCGTCGGTGCTGCTCCCTTCTACTCGTCTTCCTGCCTGGCAGGAGAAGCTCCCGCTACTGGTTGCCCTTCTACCACTGTCGACACCACCAACTGCAGTGAGCCAGTGTCCGAGGCTCCAGCCAGAAACAGGTAGCAGCCATGCCGGATACCAAACGCCCACACTTAAGAGCCTGAAATGACCTGACGCCACCTCCGCATGCTTTACCTACTGAGGTTACGCACATGTGGTTCCCAGACTACATGTTCTGATTGGATGAGAGAAAAACCTCTAGGCCTACTCTGATTGGACTTTATTTTCATGCTGTGATTGGTTGTCTTAAGACTGGCTCTCATCCAATCAGAACATGATAATAAAGTCCAATCCAAGTAACCCTGGAGGGTTTTTCTCATCCAATCAGAACATGCAGTCAGGAATCCTCCTGTATATAATCTCGGTATATGACTGCTGCTGAAGGGAAGTCAGGCTCTTCCACGTTCCCGTATTTTCCTGTGGAGCTGCTCAGTGCCCGGCTTAGAGGACCAGGAATGGGTAATCACCAGCCGTACGCTGGAGGCTGGAGCCGCTACACCGTGGCTCGCCTCGCTGCGACTGGTGGTAACCGCGACCGAGACGGCAGTGCGGCGGAAGCGGTAAGAGGAGGAAAAGAGTTTTGGGATAGATGGAGGGGGTAAAGAGGGTGGTTAGTGCCAAAGGGAAAAGAGGATAGTGAGCAGGAGAGCGCGTTGCAAAAAGGCGGTGGGGAAAAGATAGTGGGAAAAAAAGTTTTTGGGTAGATGGAGGGAGAAAAACGGGGTGGGGAGCGGCAGGGAGGGAAGGTTTTGCAGAAAGATGGTGGGTAAAATGTTTATGGGTAGATGGAGGAGGAAAAGAGGGTGGCAAGGGAGGAGGAAAGAGAGGGTGGTGGGGGGGAGAAACAGCGTTGAGCAGTAGGGAGAGAAGGTTTTGTGAAAAGACAGTGGGGAGAAAAGGTTTTGGGTAGATAGAGGGGGAAAAGAGGGTAACAGGTGGGGGAAGGGAAAAGGGTAGCCAGCGGGAGGAAGACAAGGTTTTGCAAAAAGATAGTGGGCAGGAAAGAAAGACGGTGGAGAAAGAAAAGACAGTGGGTAAAAAGTGTTTGGGTAGATGGTGGGGGGAAAGAGGGTAACGAGGAGGAGGAAAGAGGGTGACGAGAGGGAGCAGGGAAAGAGAGTTGGGAAAAAAATGGGAAAATAGTTTGGGGTAGATGGAAGGCAAAAAAGAGAGTGGCAAGCAGGATAGGGCAAAGAAGAGGACGAGTGGGAAGGGGGGAAGACTGTGAAAAGACAGTAGGGAATATTCTGGGGGGTGGATGGAGGGGGAAAAGGGGAGGTGAGCAGGAGTGGGGAGAAGGCTTTGCGAAAAGACTATGGTGAAATGTTTTTGGGTAGAGAAGGGAAAGAGGGTGGCAAGGAGGAGCGGGGGAAAAGACGATGAGGAAAACAGTTTTCGGGTAGATGAAGGGCGAAAAAGTGGTGAGCAGCAGGAGTGAGGAGAAGGGTTTGGGAAAAGACGGGAGAAAATGTTTTTGCTTAGATGAAGGAGCAAAAGAGGGTGATGAGAGTGGGATGGGGGAAAAGAAGGTGGCCAGGGAGAAAGGGAAAAGACGGTGGGAAAAAACAGTGGGGAAAGTGGGTAAGTGGATGGGGAAAAGGGTGGTGAGTGAGAGAGCAGAGAAGGCTTTGCGAAATGACGGTGGGGAAAAATGGTGGGGAAAAAGTTTTGGGGTAGATGGAGGAAGAAAACAGGTGGCGAGGGGGAGGAGGCCAAAGGCGGTCGGGAAAAGAAGGTGGGAAAATAATGGTGGGAGACAAAGATTTGGGGTAGATTTTTTTTTAATCAGATTATTTGTATTTTTGCTTTTGAGTAGTTATTTATATATTTTGTGTATTAGCCCCTTGGCTGATGCATAGTTTGCAAATACTTTCTTCCATTCTCTGGGTTGTTTCTTCGTTCTACTGATTTCTTCCTGTGCTTTGCAGAAGCTTTTAAGTTTTATGTAATTACATCTTTGCTTTTGTTGCTTGTGCTTTTGACAAGTTTAATGTAATTACATCTTTGCTTTTGTTGCTTGTGCTTTTGATGTCTATTTGAAAATTCCTTGTCCTAACCAGTTTCATGAAGGATTTATCCTATGTTTTCTTCTCTAGTAGTTTTATAGTTTCAGGTCCTACATTTAAATCTTTATTTTGAGTAGATTTTTGTATATGGTAAGATAACGGCCTAGATGTATTCCTGTACATGTGGGTGTTGAGTTATCCTAGCAGTTTATTGAAGAGATTGTCCTTCCCGAATGTGTGTTCTTGGTGCCTTTGTTAAAAATGAGTACGCCATAAATGGGTGAATTTATTTCTGATTTCTCTATTCTGTTTCACTTGTCTATGTCTGTCATTCCTTCGTTTCTGTTTCTCCCCCGCCCCTTTTTTTGATAGTATTATGCTGTTTTGGTATTACCATGCTTACTACAGATTTGTAGTATGTTTTGAAGTCAGGTGTGATGCCTCCAGCTTTTCTTTTTATTCCAGATTCTTTTGTCTATCTGAGGTATTTTGCGTTTCCATGTGAATTTTAGGATTTTTTTTTTCTATTTCTATGAAGAATGTCTTTTGTAATTTAACATGGATTGCATTGACTCTCTAGATCACATTGGGTGATATAGACATTTTAACAATATTCTTCTAGTGCATGGACATGGGATATCTTTCCATTTACTTGTGTCTGCTTTAATAGCTTTCATCTGTGTTTTAGAGTTTCCATTGTGGGATCTTTTGTCTTTTTGGTTAAGTTTATCCCTAGATATAATTTTTTTGGTAATGAAATAGCTTTCTTGATTTCTTTCTTAGGTATTTCACTATTGGTGCATGGGCGTGCTACTGATTTTTATATGTTGATATTGTATCTTGCAACTTGACTAAATTATTTCTAGTAGGTGATTTTGTGGAATCTTTAGGGTTCTCTCTTTCTCTGTGTATATATATGATCATGTCACCTGCAAACAAACAGTTTGACTTCCTTTTTTCCAATTTGGATGCCTTTTATTGCATTCTCTTGTCTAATTGCCCCACTTAGGACTTCCAGTACTATGATGAATAAAAGTGGCGTAAAAGTAGCCACACTTGTTCCAGGCCTTAGAGGAAGAGTTTAAACATTTCCCCATTGATTATGATGTTAGCTGTGGGTTTGTCATATATGGCCTTTATTGCGCTGAGATATGTTCCTTCTGTACTCATGTTGTCCAGTTTTTGTCATGAAGGAATGTTGATTTTTATTTTTTTCAGCATCTACTGAAATGATTATATGGTTTTTGTTCTTGATTCGCTGAATGTGATGTCGCACATTTATTTGTGTTTTATTGAATCATCCTCATATTCCTGGGATGAATCCCACTTGATCATGGCAGATCATCTTTTTATTGTGTTGTCAAGTGCAATTTTCAAGTATTTTGCTGAAAATTTTTTTGCATCTGTGTTCATCAGGGATATTTAAAATGCCTGTGGTTTTCTTTTTGTGTTGTTTCCTGGTCTGGTTTTTGTACCATGTACCAGGGTCATGCTGTCCTCATAGAACAAGTTTCGAAGACTTCCTTTCTCTTCATTTTTTGGGGAATATTTTGAGTAAAATTCGTATTAACTCTTTAAAAAACGTTTGGTAGAATTCAGCAATAAAGCCATGATTCTTGTGTTTTTGTTTGATGGAAGACTTTTTATTACTGCTTTAATTACATTACTCATTATGGATCTTGTTCCGGTTTTTTGTTTATCATTCTATCTTGGGAATTTGTTATGTGTCCAGAAATTTATCACTTCTCCTAGATTTTCCAACTTGTTTTTATATAGGTGTTTTTAGTAATCTCTTACAATCCTTCATATTTCTGTGTTATCCATTGTAATGTCTCCTTTTTCATCTATCATTTTGTTTTGTTTTTCTTTTCCTTAGTCTAGTTAAAGCTTGTCAGTTTTGATTTTTTTCTAAAAAATCCAGCTCTTTGTTCCATTGACTTTTTGTATTTTTTGTTTCTATTTTTAAAATTTCTTCTCTAATCTTTATGATATTTTTTGTGCTAATTTTAGTATTTTATTTTTCTCGTTTTTCTCATTACTTCAGGTGTACTGTCAGGTTGGCTATTTGAGATCTTTCTATTTTCTCTGATGTAGGCATTTATAGCTATGCCCTTTTCCTCTTACAACTGCTTTTGCTGCATCCCACAGGATTTGTTATGTTGTGTTTCTTTTTTCAATAAATTTTTAATTTTCTTTTTATTTTTTCATTTATTTATTGGTTGTTCATGAGCATGTATTTTAATTTCCATGTATTTGTACAGTTTTTCCTCCTGTTATTGATTTCTAGTACTATTCCACTGTGGTCAGAAAAGATACTCGATATGATTTCAGTTTTGTTTTGTTTTGTTTTTTTTGAGACGGAGTCTCGCTCTGTCGCCTAGGCTGGAGTGCAGTGGCGCGATCTTGGCTCACGCAAGCTCCACCTCCCGGGTTCACGGCATTCTACTGCCTCAGCCTCCCCAGCAGCTAGGACTACAGGCGCACGCCGCCACGCCCAGCTAATTTTTGTATTTTTAGTAGAGATGGGGTTTCACTGTGTTAGCCAGGATGGTCTCTGTCTCCTGACCTTGTGATCCGCCCCCCTCGGCCTCCCAAAGTCCTGGGATTACAGGCATGAGCCACCGTGCCCGGCCATGATTTCAGTTTTTAAAAATGTGTTGTGACTTGTTTTTTGGCCTAATGCATAGTCTTTTGTGGATAATAATCCATATTCTATTCAGTGGAATGTGCATTATGCAGTTGCGGAGTGGAAAGCTGTGCAAATGTTAGGTCTATTCGGTATAGAGTACAGTTTAACTGATGATGTTTTGTTGTCTGGATGATCTGTCCATTGACGATAGTGGGGTGTTGATTATAGCGAAGCATTGAGGCATTCTGTTATTGTATTGCAGTCTATCCTTTAAGGTCTGTTAATATTTGCTTCTGTGTTTAGTTGCTTGAGTGCTGGTTGCATATACACTTATAATTGTTATGCTGCTGTTTACTTTTTCTCATTATATAATTATCTTCATTTTTTTCTTTTTTTGACTGAAAGTCTATATAATCTAAGTAGAGCTACTCCTGCTTTTTTTGTTTCCACAGGTGTGCGATATTATTTATCATGTCTTCACTTTCAGTCTATGTATGTCTATAGGTGAACTGAGTTTCTTGTAGGCAGTATATAATTGGGTCTTGTCTTTTAATTCATTCAGCCACTCTGTCTTAATTGGAGAATTTAATTCATTTATATTCAAGGTTATTATTAACAGGTAAAAACATACTACTGCCATTTTTTACTTGTTTTCTGGTTGTTTTGCTATTCTCTCTTTTTTCTTTTGTTCTTTCTCTCTTCCTTCCTCTTTCTCTTCTCTCTGATCTCTCTCTTTCTTTCTTTTCTTTCCTCCTTCCCTTCCTTCCTGTCTTTATTTGTAGTGAGATAATTTTTTCTGGTAGTGTGTTTCAATTGCTTGCTTTTCATTTTTAGGGTGTCTATTATTGATTTTTGTTTTCTGGTTACCATGAGGCTAAACAACATAATTATATCAAGTTATTTTAAACTGAAGAAAACTTAACTTTGATTTGTCCCAGCTACTCCGGAGACTCAGGTGGGAGGATTGCTTGACCCTGGGAGGCTGAGGTTACAGTGAGTTGAGATCGCGCCACTGCGAATATAAATAAATAAATAAACAAACAATAGCTTATAATGAATTCTGATTGTAAATTTTGAGATGATGATTGATAAGGTATAAAGAAGAAAGTGAAAATCATTCATAATCTCATTACTCAACTACTCCTAATGTTTTGGTACATATGCTTCCTAATTCATAACTCACTCTCTCTCTCTCTCTCTCTCTCTCTCTCTCTGTCTCTCTCTGTCTCTCTCTCTCACACACACACTCACACACACGTACACATAAAATAGATACATTTTATACACAGATACAATTTTATTGTAACATTTTAAGAAAAACAGCTTTGTAATTTTTTATTTAAAAATATTGGCCTGGCGCGGTGGCTCATGCCTGTAATCATAGCATTATGGGAGGCTGAGGCGGGCAGATCATGAGGTCAGGAGATCGAGACCATCCTGGCTAACATGGTGAAACCCCGTCTCTACTAAAAATACAAAAAAGAAATGAGCCGGGCGTGGTGGCGGGCGCCTGTAGTCCCAGCTACTTGGGAGGCTGAGGTAGGAGAATGGCGTGAACCCGGGAGGTGGAGCTTGCAGTGAGCTGAGATGGCACCACTGGACTCCAGCCTGGGCGACAGAGTGAGACTCCATCTCAAAAAAAAAAAAGAAAACTCAAGAATGACATGGCAGTGGTGAGTGGGATCCTGGGCATCCCTGGGGGAATTGGGGCTCCCCCAAGAGCTCCTGGGAGCACCACTGGGAGGGGCCTTCAAGGTTAGGGTGGCTGGGTAGGGGCTGGGCCTGACCTGAGACCCTGCCCACCAGGCCTCTTCCAGGCCAGGTTTGCTGTGCTGGGTGGGAACATGGGAGAAGTCACTCTCTGTCTGTGGCCCCCATCGGTGCCTCTGCCACCTGGCCCAGAGGGGGCAGGGACTCTGGGGAGGACAAAGCTGTGGGGGTAGGGAATATACCCAGGATCAGCCAACATTGTCTGCACAAGGGTGGAGGCTGAGAGAGAGGCCTCGGGAATCTGGCTGTGAGTGAGGACGGGCCTGGGGTGGGAAAGCCCCCTACATGGGGAACCCTTGGGTTCCGGGCTGCTGACCATGCCCATCCTGCTCCAGCCCACTGCCCCACTGCCCCCGGTGCCACTGACCAAACAGCAGTACCTATGCCAGCTGCTCCTGGATGCCATCCTGGCCAACATCCGCTCACCCTCTTCAACCATTCCCTGTACCGCATATTCATGCCAACCATGATTGCCATCCACAGCCCACCCATCACATACATCCAGCTGGGCTGGGCTTCGCAGAGGGTGGCTGCCTGGCCCTGGGCCATGTGTGCCCAGTGTGGTCACCATGGTGCCTCCCCAAGGCCCCAGTGGTATGCACCCAGAAGCACAGGCTTGAGGACGATGAGCAGCAGAGCATCCCCAGTGTGCTCCAGGGCCTGGTGGCCAGGTTGGAGCCCAAGTGCATGATAAACCTGGACCCTTCTCACTGCAGCAACAACGGCACCGTCCGCCTGATCTGCAAGCTGGGCGAGTGTCCAGGAGGGCCAGGCTGGCGCAAGAGAGCAACCCCCAACTGCAGCCCCAGGCCTCTGCTGTCCAAGCTGGAGGGCACAGTGCCCAGACCCCATCCTATGTTCACGTGCCAGCAGGTTGTCTGCTCTGTCTTCTGGGCCCAGGACAGACTGGCCATTGCCTCTGCCCCCACCCCCGGAGCCCACGCACCCTCACCTCCCCAACACAGATGCGGCTCTGCTTGCCTGGGGCCCTAGGGAGGTGGCACGCAGGACCTCTGGGCACCCATTGATGCAGGTCACTCTGGCTTCAGGTTTGGAAATCCGAGAGTGAGAGAGACATCCAGGCTTTGCCGCAAGCCTCACCAGAACCTCCCTGGGTGTGAAGAGTCCTGTTCGGGAGCAGGGCTGTGAGGCGGGGCAGGCCAGGGCTTGTCTGGGTCACAGGTACAGCCTTGTGTGTTGCAAACGACAAGGACCTCCCAAGTGTGCCACCATGTGCCCACCCACTACCCTACCCAGAGTCCACTGTGGATGGACCGGCAGTGGCTATACAGTGGGCAGACCCAGAGGGAGCTGTCTGGGGGCCCAGGGCAGGCAGGGGTCATTCTGGAACACCAGGCTTCCAGTGCTGCAGGGACAGCCTCTGTGCACTCCAGCCCCTCCCAGCTCAGGCCCCTCCCTCCCCTCTTCTGACTCCCCCTGCACGGGCAGGCGCAGGTTTTCCAGTGGTCACCTGAGAGAGAGGGGTCTCTGCTCTTCTTCTGTGTCCCTTTGCCCCTTCATCTTGTGTCAGGTCAGTTGTCCAGGGTGGCTGTGTTCAGTGGCTGAGGGGTGAGAAAGCCTACGGCTCAAGGACAGACCCTGCTTTTCCCAGAGGCCACCAGGGAGCTCAGCGGGGCTGACAGGTCCTACCAGTAGCTTGGGCACACAAGGCCCCATCTGGGCGATGTGGCTCCAGAGGGTCATGTTGACAGGAGTCAGTGTCCCTGAGCCCAGAGCTGGCACACAGCAGATCCAGGGCTGGGTCCCCAAGGTTGTCAGAGGCAAAGCCCTGGGCTCCAAACCCCATTCAGATTCAGTTCTTCACTGACAATGAGGCTCTGGGAGGAGAGCCCGATGGCCAGGCAGGCAGCGTGCAGGGCTCCTCCTGGTGCTTCAGCCAGTCCTGGGGCTGCCACTTCCCAGAGCACTGCCGGGTGTGCAGGCCGTGGGTGCAGCACCAGCTGCCTCAGGCTCATGCCCATTGTTCTGTTGCAGGCACCAACCCCTTCCTCAGGTCGGTGCACCACTGCGTGACCTCCAGGCAGCCACAGCCTGGAAAAGCACTCGGTTACCACCTTGCTCAACACCTGTGCCCGGAGCATCCACAAGGCCTGCCTCGGCTGCTTAGCCAGGACTGCAGGGATGGCCCGCAGCCTCATCGGGGCCAAGGACGCATGCCTCCTGTCAGACACTTCTAGGTGTTGGCGTCCATGGAGAGCCTGGAGTTAGGTTAGCTTTCCTCCTTTTCTCTCCTGCCTTGGGGATCTGCCAAATGAAATCCCGCACTTGTACAGACTGAGATGGGCGTGGTGGAGCGGGCTGCTCGCCGTGGCCTGTCCAGGGTCCAGGTCCATCTCAGCGGCATGAGGGTGCGCTCAGGGTGTTGTTAGAGCATCTTGTGTGTGCTCAACACACCCCTGCTCCTTTCTATAGGAGAACACAGAGGACATAGGAAACCCTTCAAACACACATCGGATTCTCTGCTCACAGTTTTGGGTTCAGGCTGTGCTGCTTTGGGCAGGTGGGGCACCCCCCAGAGAAGCCCCTAAGTCCAGGGCACAGGCTGCCTATCGGAGGGAGGGCTGGCCCATGGCTGCTGCCAGCTCCCCACCACCAGCTGGGCCTCAGCCCTCACGGCATTCCTGCTGAGCACTGTGGGGCCCCCAGGGAGCAGGGGCACGGGGGATCCTGCTGCCGGCACCCCTGTGTCACTCGTGTGAGGGCCGTGTCCCCATTGTGAAGGATGAAGAGCCAGGCCCTCTGGACCCGCGTCCTCAGAACACTACGCACTGCCACCCAGAGAGTGCGGGCCTGGCGGTGGGTGGGGCCATGCAGTGAGTGCCTCCCTATGTTGCCCACTGCCCTGGGCACCGGCCAGCAGCCCTTTGGTGACAAGAGTCGCCCCTTTTAATGCATACCACCCCATCATCTGTGATTGTTATAATCTTGTTATTCCTGTGTTTGTCAGGACTCGTCACTGTGTCCCCCACTCCATGAAACTGGGCCTGCTGTCCTGTTAGGATGCTGTAAGCCCCCGGGCCTGGGCTGTCCTTTCTGACGCACTGTCCCATTCCTTGGCCTGGTTCATCCCCAGCTTCCTGGCAAAGTTCTGCTCCCTGAAGCAGGAAGAGGCTGAGATTAATGCCAACGAAGTGGGGCCGTGGGCCTGGGAAGACTGTGTGGCTGGCTGAGGGTGGGCACTAAGCTGGCCACCCCACCCCCGACATGGACATGGCTGTGCTGTGGCGGAAGGGGTGGTGCGGGCATGGCCACGGCACTCGAGACAGCCCTCCGAGGAGGAGGGCGAGCCTGGCTGGACCCCCTGTCTGCGGTGCTGTGTCAGGGCAGCAGAGGACAGCCTCTTGCCCCCAGGAGTGTGCAGTGTGGGCAAGAGACAGAGTGATCATGTGTTTGGAACGCAGCTCCAGCCCAGCCAGGGGACCAGAAAAGCCCTCCCGCTTCCAGGGAGGATGTGCATGGCTCTGCCAATGCCTGTCTCCCAGGGCCGCTGGCAGGTCCCAGGATGCGCAAGACTGGGCTGCCCAGGCAGGTCCCTGCAGACAGCGGGGCCTGGGCTAGAGGCCAAGGGCTGGGACTGGGAAGGGACGCGACGCCTGATAGCCAGTGAGGAGCCAGGCACACAACTTGGAAATAAACAAGCTTTATTTTCAGTTTCAACAGGTAAGGCGATACCTGCTTCATCGTGTGCTTTTATGTAAATGCCAAATAGCAAAATAACAGCTAGAAAATAAACAGTTTGTCAGTTTGGAGATCAAGTACTTTATCTATCTTGAGTGTTATCTATCTTGGAATTTAGCCAGGCCTAAAAGTAGCGGAAGTATCAGGAAATGCTATAGAGAGCCAATCTCCAGCTGCAGGTTGGTGGGCCTGGCACTGACCAGATGCGGGTAGCTCAAAGCACCGAGCGATGCAGGCGCCGTTTCTGCATTGCCTGCAGCCTCTTCTGCCTCTCGGCAAAGTTGTTCTTCGGGGTCTGCTTCAGCGCGGGCAGGATGGCACGCTCCGCCACAGGTGGGCTCAGAAGCAGGCTGGGGGCGGGTAGAGGGACTGTCACCGTGAGCATCCTCGCGAGTGGAGTGTGTGGGGAGTGCGGCCTGCATGGCCCTCACGGGGGCACAGAGAGGCCTCAGCGAGCTCCGCTTCTGCGCTGCCACGCTCCCTTCCCCACTCCCTCCCTGGGGCCCAGGCTGCAGGGCTGCCCCACTGTCCCCATGCCTGTGGGACTTACCATTTCTTGGAGAGGCTCTTGGTGGAGACCTTGGGGAAATGCGTGGCTTCTTGGTCCCTGGGTGAAGGAAGAGTCAGCAGTGAGCTGTGGATAGGCCCCCAGGGATGGGGCAGGGGTGCACCAGGCACTCACCTGGGAAAGCTAGCTTCCTCCGGGACTGCCTGGGGCCTCTGGCTCCCTTCCAGGAGGGACTTGAGGTGCTGCAGCTGAAAGGCAGGGGCAGGGGCGTGGTGGGGCCTGTGGCGGTGCCAGACTGCCCAGGGCCACCCCCACCACCCAGGGCCTCACCTCTTGGGTCTGCAGGAGGTTGGTATTCCACAGCTCGCGGATGAGCACTTCGCACTGCCTAAGTGTGGTGGGCTTTCGCAGGGGAAGGGGCAGGATCATTGGGGGGTGTGCCGCCGCCCCCATCTGCCTGCCCTGGTGCTGGCTGTTCCCCATACAGGCAGCTCCTGCGTTAGAGGCCTCTGCTTTCTCCTTTCTGAAACAGTCATTGCAGCAGCCAGAGGTGACCTGCCCAGGTGCGTCTAACCACCCACCCAGCATACCTCCCCAGGCAGCGCCCAGGCCAATGTGGGGAAGAGGGCCTGGTTCCCCTCTCCCACTGAGCAGGGTGCTCTGGGCACCAGGTGGGGGTCTCTGGGACTGGGGCCTGTCCCTTTCTCCCCTCTGAAGGTGCCCTAAGGGTCAGATGGGCTTCAGTGGGTGACCAGCTAGCTGCCAGGCTGCTCTTGGTCGTGACCCCACACCCAGTGGGGCATCTTGCTCCAGGCCTGGTCTCGGGATGTGCAGATGCAGGAGCCTGTCCTGCTGGTTGCGCTGCTGAAAGTGTGCGCTCTGTAGCATCTCAGGGCAGTCCCGCAAACTCAGGGATCACCAGAACCTGTTCCTACTCTGACCTGCTGGCCTAGTGCCCTCCAAAGGCAGGCTGTGGCCAGGGGCAGCAAGCCTTCTCTTGGTCAGAATATTACTTTACTTTTCTCTGAGGAAGTGGTTTAGGGGCCGCTACTGGCCCCCCTCGTGGGCTCAGGTCAGCACAGGTACTCTGCAGGACCCCCAGGGGAAGGGAGGAAGACAGCGCCCACCGATGGGTAGAGCGTGGCCGTCATCTGCTATCATGAGCCCTGGAGACAGGCCCCTGGAGCTAGGGGCAGAGCAGTTGGCTGACTGCAGGGCGTGAGCCTAGTAAATGTAGTCATGGGGCCCTTAGGGTGCAGGCAAGACTTACCTGGCCTGCCCTTGCACCCCAGGAACACCCAAGCCTTACCTGGCCTGCCCTTGTACCCCAGGAACCTTGTCCAGCTTGCTGTTGTGAAGTAGGGGCTCCTCTTCCAGGTCCGCCTTCTGGGAGACGTCAGCTTTTGAATCTTGCTTGTTGAAGGAGCCGGGCTGGGGCCTGGCCTTGCCTTGAGAGTTGGCTGCAAGTCAGACCCTACAAGGCCGGTCACTGCAGGCACCAACAGTCACCGCCCAAGTTTTCCAGGAACAGCTGTGTGTACCCAAGAAGCCCCTGTCCCTGCCTCAGTTTCCTCCTCTGTAAAGGGAAGCCTGCCTTGGAGGGTTCTGGGGGGAATCAATGTGGTTCTGAGGGTGAAGCCCATGGGTGGTGCCTGTGAACACTCTAGAACAATCAACATAGTGGAAGCTGGCCCCATCTTGGGTAAAATGAAACTGCATGAGAGGCTTGGGACCCAGCCTGCATGGGTTTCCTCGGCAAGGACAAGGCCCGTCCAGCACCTGGGCCCATCACAGGAATGGTGAGGGTTAGGGCTGGGCTGAGGAAAATGCCCGGCCTCACAGAGTGGGGAAAAGAGGCTCTCTGCTCCCAGTTCACTCTGCAGAAGGTGCCATGAGCCCAGGGCTCCGTGGGCAGTGCCATCCCTCCTGTGTCCTGCCTGCTTGTGGCGGGGACACGGCCAAGCAGGGCTGCTGCTGGGCAGCCAGGGTACGTCCTCCCTAGGCGGCCACCCGGGGAGGCCCCTCCTGCCTGCTTGCTGCCCCACCCTGGGGTGCCTGCTGTGAGGCCTTACTGCCCTGTGACTGGTCCCTGGTCCTGCCCACCCCCCCTTAATCCCCTCCCGGTGGCTTCAGCTTGCAGGGCTCTTTTCAGCTGCACCTTCATCCCCAAATCCTGGAGCTTGGCCCAGCAGAGGGTACCTGGTCAGCACCCCTAGAGGCCACCCAGGCTGGGGTCCCCGTGGGGCACTCACCCCTGTGAGCACATGGACGCCAGCCTGCTCACCTGAATTAGAGATGGACTTGACAGACTGGAAGCTTGACGTGGAGAGGCTGTCTGCAGGAGAGCGCACAGTGTCGGCGCTACCGCCCGCAAGACGCCCACGCTTGCCTCCTGGCCTGTGTGTCCGTGAGGAGCCCTCCTTCAGCCTGGCAGGGCTGGGTCCTCCCGGCTCTACCCACACTCCGTTGATGCAGACCCAGCGAGCGCCCAAGGGAGCAGAGGCCCTGGAAAGGTGGTTTCCTGAGGGGCCATCTGGAAAGCAGGAGGGCTTGGGACACATGGAACAGCAGGTCCCGAGGGAGAGCATGGCCTCTTCCCGTGTCCTGTCAGCGTCCCCAGCACTGCAGGGCTGGGGCTGCCGACTTGGGCCACACTTTGCCCAGAACAGCTCACTGGAGTTGCCACAGCGGCTAGGGAAGGGCCCTCCCTCAACCCCATTCTCCATGTCTCTCTGGGAAGGGAGAGCCCTAGGCACTGCCCCAGCTACGATGTTCCCAGGCTGGCTCCATCCACCAGTCAGATGTCCTCCTGATGTCAGCCCCAGCCCCAAAGATAACGGGAAGTGAGCTCGAGACCACAACCCAGAATCCTGGGCTGGGTGGGGGCCGCTGTCAGGATGGGGAAGTGCCTTGGACAAGTGGCAAGGAAACAGGACTCTGCTTCCTCCCTTTGTCCCCATGGTTGCTGCCCAGATGGCAGGAAGGGATCCCTGGATGGAGTGTGTCCAGAGCCCCTGGGCCCCCAGCATGTCAGGACTCAGAGCCATAGGGCTGGAGATCCTGGGCCTGGCCACAGCAGCAATCTGAGGCAAAGATCTAGCAGGGCAGGGGCTGTCCCAGGGGTTCCTTCCCATTTCAGCTCTACTTGGAGGAGGGAGGTCTGGGGAGCACCCTGTGCCCACCTCCCCACTGCAATGACCTCAGGCCCTGGGCTTCCTGAGAGCAGCACGTGCTGTGCTTGGCTGCGTAACATCATCCAGCCACGGCTAGAGGTAGCGGCATCTGTCCAGGTCCCCCAGAACCTGTCCCCACTGGGTTGGCATACAGGGGCCAGTGCAGCCAGGTGGGCAAGGACAGTCTGGAGGGGCTCCCCTGGGTGGCAAGAGCATCCCATCAGGAACTGAAGGGCCCAGTTCTCACCTTTCTTCTGTGATGTCTGATTCATTATGAGCTTGTAACGGAGATCTGAAAGCAAGCACACGCTCTCCTCAGCACTTGTGAAACCACAGCCATTCTGAGAGAAGAAGCCTGGCCTGTCCTCTCCTGGCTGCTGAGCCCGAAAGTCCTGCCCCCCCACTGGCTGATTGGGCCCTGCCCCATGGATCCCGCTCTCCACCATGCCTTTGTCGTGGGTGTCAGGCCAGGAGTGGCCCCTGCCTGTTCCCTAGGCAGAGCCCACCTGGCATATCAGCCTCATCCATCTGAGATGACTGGAGGGCGTCCACACTGCCAGGCAGAACCTGGGCTTTAGGGGTACAGAGGTGAACTCTGGAATCCCTGGCTATGGCGGTGTCATGATCCCGTGGGCATCAGGGACTGGGGGGAGGCTCAAGAAGATATGAGGAACGGGGCGTCCTGAGGCTTATTAAGACATGGGGAAGGGGGGTCCTGACAAAACAGACGCCTGGTGATGGGATACTCGGCACTCAGGTAAGGCAGCAGCAGGGAACGGGGCGGGAGAGGAGGCCGCGGGCACTGGTGCCCTTGCTGGAGCCCTCCTGAAGCAAGAGCGAGGAGCGGAGCCACATCCCACATCCTGGCGGGCCCTCCTCCTGCTCGGGGCAGGAGGGGTGGGGGAGGAGGGAGGGAGAAAGGGGGGCGTGGGGGTGAGGAGCAGCTAAGGGTGCAGTTGGGAAGGCCCCGCCGGAGGACAGCATGGGCACAGGCGAAGCGGGGACGGGGTGGGGGGCGGGGGAATGCCTGCTCCTGATCCGATGTGTTTAGCTGGAAGAAATTCACTGAGCTGCGCACTCGCACTTGGGCACGTTTCCCTGCATAAAGTTTTTGTTTGTTTGTTTTTGTTTTTTTTGAGACGGAGTCTCGCTCTGTCACCGAGGCTGGAGTGCAGTGGCAAGATCTCGGCTCACTGCAAGCTCCGCCTCCCGGGTTCACGCCATTCTCCTGCCTCAGCCTCCCGAGTAGCTGGGACTACAGACGCCCACCACCACACCCAGCTAACTTTTTGTATTTTTAGTAGAGACGGGGTTTCACCGTGTTAGCCAGGATGGTCTCGATCTCCTGACCTCGCGATCCGCCCGTCTCGGTCTCCCAAAGTGCTGGAATTACAGGCGTGAGCCGCCGCGCCCGGGCCCCTCTATAAAGTTTTTAACAGAGGTGTGTCTGACCCTGCTTGGAGAGGAGAGGACTGGCGGAGTCAGCATCTGAAATGCTGCTGCCCTAGGAGACAGGCAGACAGGTTCGGCACTGCCCGGGGGCCACGCGGGTCTCCCTCTGGGAGGAGGGGACAGCTCAGCGTGGCAGGGCGGGCTTACCGTCCTGTGTTCCCCCTGAGCCCAGGCGTGTGCTGGAGTTGATGGCTGTGTTTCTGTGCTGCGGGAGCGGCAGTGTTGAGTGTGCCTGGGGAGGCAGGGCCGGCCTAGGGCCCCGCGCCGGCTCACCCTTGTTTTCCCGCTTCAGATGCTCGATCTCCTCATGGAGCTTGGCCAGCATCTCCGAGTGCTGCTGCTGCAGGAACTGTAGGCTCTTCTCCAGGTCCAGGTTCCGTTTCTGCGGGTCGCTCTGCCTGAGCTGCGGGCTCTGCGGCCTCAAGGACTGGACGCCCACAGAGGGGCGCTGGCGCCGGCGCCGAGAGCCCGGGGTCGGCGAGCTGGGGGGCCGCGTCCCAGCCGCCACCCCCGCACCGCTCATATCGCCATCGCCAGGTACTCTCCCGCTGCCACTGCACCCCGGCTCAGTGGCCAGGCCGCCCTAGCCTGGCGCCCCGTCACCATGGAAACCGGGCGACGGAGGGCGCCAGGCGTTTGGCGGGGGCGGGGCCTGTCGCTGGCTCTTCCTGGGTGAGTAGTGATTTACAAGGCATCCAGGGCTGGGCGCCGGGGCTCACGCCTGTAATCCCCGAACTTTGGGAGGCCGAGGCGGACGGATCACTTGAGGTCAGGAGTTCCTGACCAGCCTGACCAACATGGCGAAACCCCGACTCTACTAAAAATACAAAATTTAGCCGGGCGTAGTGGCGGGAGCCAGTAATCCCAGCTACTCCGGAGGCTAAGGCAGGAGAATAGCTTGAACCGGGAGGCAGAGGTTGCAGTGAGCCGAGATCGCACCGCTGCACTCCAACCTGGGCGACAGAGACTCTATCTAAAATAATAATAATAATAATAATAATAATAATAAAAGGCATCCTTTCCAGCCTGGATGGAAAGTGAGCCCCTGTCTCTATAAAAATTAAAAGAAAAAAAACCCGGGCATGGTGGCTTGCGCCTGTAGTCCCAACTGCTCGGGAGGCTGAGGTGGGAGGATTGCTGGAACCCCGGAGGTCGAGGCTGCAGTGAGCTATGATGGCACCACTGAACTCCAGCCTAAGTGACAGAGTGAGATGCTGCCTAAAAATAAGAGGCCGGGCGCAGTGGTTCACACCTGTAATCCCAGCTACTCCGGAGGCTGAGGCAGGAGAATCACTTGAACCCAGGAGGTGGAGGTTGCAGTGAGCCAAGATCGCGCCATTGCACTCCAGCCTGGGCGACAGGGTGGGATTCTGTCTCAAAAAAAAAAAAAATAATAAATAAATAAATAAATTTAAAAATAATAAAAATAAAAAGTCTTTTTTTTTTTTACAAGGCCTGCCCTCAAAAAAAAAAAAAATCACAGCCAGGCCAATCATAATTTTGCCAGACACCAACAAACCTGGAGGAAGGGAACATAGCTAACCCCAGCCTGCTCTGGCTCTCCTTCCCCACATCTTACTGCCACATCAGCGGGGCTCCTGTATAATAACAGGGGATACAAGTGAAAGAACTGCTCATCTCAGAGCTTATTCGAGAAATCTCTAGGAAACCGTAAAGACAACAGGGAGACAAAAACTAAGACACTAGAGGAGGTTTAAGCCTCTGACACCTCCAGTTAACAAACAGCACACATGGCACAACCCCTAACCAGACCAACATAAAACTTCACACAGAAAGTCCATTTACTGGTTGAGCATGACCAGCCCTCAACAAAAACTTGCAAGGCATAATAAAAAACAACACAGTTCGAAGACACAGCAAGCATCAGAGCCACACTTAAATATGGCAGAGATGTTGGAATTATCAGACCAAGAAATGGAATACGACTATGATTAATATGCTAAGGGCTCTAATGGAAAAAGTGGACAACATGAGATTACAGACTGATAATGGGAACAGAGAGGTAGACGTTCTAAGAAATAATCTAAAGAAAATGTGAAGGCCAGGCAGGGTGGCTCATGTCTGTAATCCCAGCACTTTGGGAGGCTGAGTTGGGCAGATCATTTGAGGTCAGGAGCTCAAGACCAGCCTGGCCAACATGGTGATACCCCATCTCTACTAAAAAATACAAAAATTAGCTAGTGTGGTGGCATGCACCTGTAATTCCAGCTACTTGGGAAGCTAAGGTGGGAGGATTGCTTGAATCCAGGAGGTGGAGGTTGCAGTGAGCCGAGATCATGCCACTGCCCTCAAGCCTGGGCAACAGAGTAAGACTCCATCTCAAAAAAAAAAAAAAGAAGAAGAAAAGAAAAGAAAATGTGAGAAGTTGGCCAGGCACAGTGGCTTACACCGCTAATCCCAACACTTTGGGAGGCCGAGGTGGGTGAATCACTTGAGGTCAGGAGTTCAAGACCAGCCTGGGCAACATGGTGAAAACCCATCTCTACTAAAAATACAAAAATTATTGGGAGGCCGAGGCGGGCGGATCATGAGGTCAGGAGATCGAGACCATCCTGGCTAACACGGTAAAACCCCATCTCTACTAAAATACAAAAAATTAGCCAGGCATGGTGGTGGGCGCCTGTGGTCCCAGCTACTCGGGAAGCTGAGGTAGAAGAATGGCGTGAACCCGGGAGGCGGAGCTTGCAGTGAGCCAAGATCATGCCACTGCACTCCAGCCTGGGCGACAGAACAAGACTCCATCTCAAAAAAAAAAAAAGAAAAAAGAAAGGCAGGCATGGTGGTGCATGTCTGTAATCCCAGCTACTCAGGAGGCCGAGGCCAAAGAATTGCTTGAACCCAGGAGGTGAAGTTTCCAGCAAGCTGAGATCCTGCCACTGCACTCCATCCCGAGCAACAGAGTGAGACTCCATCTCAAAAAACTAAAAGAAAATGTAAGAAGTCAAAAACACAACAGAAATGAAAACTCAGGTGCATGGCTGATGCCTGTAATCCCAGCACTTTGAGAGGCCAAAGCAGGAGCATCTCTTGAGCCCAAGAGTTAGAGACCAGCCTGGGCAATATAGCCAGACCCTGACTCCACAAAAAACTAAAAAGTTTGCCTGCATGGTGGTGCACACCTGCAGTCCCAGCTACTGAGAAGGCTGAGATGCAGCGAGCCGTGATTGCACCACTGCACTCCAGCTTGGGCAACACAGAGAGACCCTGTTTCAAAAAAAGAAGGAAAAAGATATAGGAAATTTGGATCTAAAAAAAGGGAAGTGCATTAGAGAAGGAATAAAGTAAAATAAAATATAATCTTTATTATTATTTTTAATAGATGACAGGTTGTTCAAAAAAATTATGGCAACATGTATTTAGTAATTATGGTTTATGGATAGCTGGAATGAATGGTAGCAATATTATTGCTGGGAGGGAGGATATCCTGAGTGGAGAGAAATTCATCCAGGCAGGAGTGCAGTGGCGCGATTATAGCTCACTTGCAGCCTGGAACTCCTGGGCTCAAGCCATCCTCCTGCCTCAGCTTCCCTAGTAACTGGGATTACAGGCACACACCACGCCTGGCTAATTTTTTTTTTTTTTTTTGTCTTGCTATGTTGCCCAGATTGGTCTCAAACCCCTGGGCTGAGGCAATCTTCCTCCCTCAGCCTCCAGAAGTGTTGAAATTACAGGTATGAGCCACTGTGCCTGGTATATGGTTGCTTTTGAATGTCCTAGTCCTAAACATCTGGTTCCCAAGAAGGAGAAAAGAAAAATGAAGGCAGGAGGAGGTGCTGATCCATAAAAACCTCCTGGAAGGTGTGTACCCAGGGAGGCAGTGAGGGTTGAGGAGGGACGTTGCAAACATAGCAGTGGAGATTGCAGCAGTGGCTGCCTGCCTCTTTGTCTGCATTTTCACAATCAACAGCAGCCATCATCAATCAGAGCACAGATCCCCAGTATTTGGAGGATGGGGCTCTTATTGCCCGCTCTGGTTCCTGCAAGCTATAGGGAAGCTACTCCAGAAATGCATGCATGGCTGCTTGCACCACCAATTTAAATGCCACTTTCTTCTGAAAACACCCTTACAGACCTGCCAGGAAATAATGTGTAACCAGATATGAGTGCATCCGGTGGCCCAGACAAGCTGACATATAGAATTAACCATCACAAGTCCACCCCTTGTCAACCTGGCACCCATACACATCTCCTTAAACCATACGCACTCTCCAAATAAACACAATAACCCAGTGTTATTGTGTTAGCAGTGGAAGGTGTCCGAGTTAATAGTGTTAGCAGTGGAAGGTGTCCAAGTCACTGGCAGTGAATCCGGATGGGTCTTCAGCAACCACAATTCTTGGCTCCTCAGAAGAAGGAATTCGACTGAGGGGCATAAGGCAGAAAAAGAGACCGAAGCAAGTTTCAGAGCAGGAGTGGAAGTGTATTTTAAAAGGCTTTAGAACAGGAAAGAAAGGAAAGTACGCTTGGAAGAGACCTAAGTGGGCACATGAAAGTCAAGTGTGGTGTTTAACCTTGATCCTAGGACTTTCTAGACTGGCCCCTTTCCCATGATCCTTCCCTTAGGGTGGGCTGCCCACATGTACAGTACCCTCCTTACCCTTGGGAGTTGAGCACATGCAGTGTGTTTAGGAAACTGTATGCATGCCCATCTGAGGTTTTCGGGTGGGGTGCCCCCCGAAGGTCATACTCCACCACTTTGTCTCTTAATGCACATGCCTGGGAAGTTGATTCTCCCTGGAATCTGCATTCAATTAACACTTTAGTGAAATAGGTGTGGCCCATCAGGAAATGGCCTGTCCCTGGCGCCAGCTGCCAATTTATCACTTTTTTTATTTATTTATTTTTTGAGAAGGAGTCTCTTGTCACCCAGGCTGGAGTACAGTGGTACGATCTCGGCTTACTGCAACCTCTACATCCCAGGTTCAAGCGATCTTCTTGCCTCAGCCTCCCAAGTAACTGAGATTAGAGGCATGCGCCACCACACTAGCTAATTTTTGTATTTTCAGTAGAGATGGGATTTCAGCATGTTGGCCAGGCTGGTCTCAAACTCCTGACGTCAAGTGATCTTCCTGCCTCAGCCTCCTAAAGTGCTGGGATTACAGGCATGAGCCACTGCGCCTGGCCAAAAGTAGGAATTCTTGACTGGGAAATAATTTGATATATTTTCGCACCTTGTGACTTGAGAAAATTATGCTAGGAATTCTGGTTTTGGGAGTCAAGGGAAGCTAGCTTAATTTTTACAGTGAAGGCTACATAAGAGTCCGCTCTCCAGTGTGGTGGCTCACACCTGTAACCCTAGCACTTCAGGATGCGGAGGCGGTCGGATCACTTGAGCCTAGGAGTTCAAGACCAGCCTGGCAACACAGTGAGACCCCGTCTCTACAAAGAAATTTAAAAATTAGCAGGGTGCGGTGGCGCATGCCTGTAGTCCTGGCTACTTGGGATGCTGAGGCGGAAGGATTGCTTAAGCCCAGGAGTTAAGAGGCTGCAGTGAGCTGTCATGGTGCAGTGCACTCCAGCCTGGGCAATATAGCAAGACCTTGTCTCAAAACAGAGAGTTCTCTCTCATTTATATTGGAAATGTCAGGGTTATTGGTGAGAGCTGGCCTTTAGGGGATCTAACTTGCTCTTGGATGTCCAAGGGGAAAGGTATAGATTTCTCCCGACTGCACAGGGCCTCTGCTTGTGAGTTGCTTGCACAAGATGATCAGAATCTGACTTACCTTGGATCACGGGGGCGCTGGTATATCCTAGCGGTAGATCATGGAAGGGAGTGGGCCACGAATGGGATCCAGGGAACGGGATTGTCTCGGGGCAAGGAGGACGATGCGGAGGTGCGGGGGCAGGGGTGGTGTCAGGACAGGCTGAAGCTGCGCTGCCAGAGTCTCTGGGCCACGTGGTCAGAAAAGCATCGGATTTGGCCTGTTAGCAGGGGAGTGTGGCCCAATGGCAAAAAGTCAAGGGCATCCTAGGAGCTGAGGAGGCGGTGGCAGTGGCAGTTAGGGCAAACCACTCTGGAAGCATCCAGGGGTGGAGACAAGAATCTGCAGGAGCTCCTGCCTCCAGCCTGGCCTCCCTCCTCCTTGTGCCCCAGACAGAACTGCTTCCCCTGAGTTGCTCCAACTCGTCCTTCCCCGGAAGTCCCTCACAAGTGCCTCCTGGCCGGGCCCCCCCAACTGCATTTTGCTTCTGCTCTCATCCCAGCAGTCCCATTTTCTCTACAGTGAGAGTTCTTGGCAAAATTTAAATCCCATTTTATTGGCGAGGTCCCTACCCCCCACCTGGAAGTGGCTGGAACCCAGCTGCCCACTGCTGCCCTCGCTCCCCAGGGAGAAGCCACTGAGCACCAGCTGGCTTTGTGGCCATCGCTGTCCAGGTCCCAGCCACCAAGACCCTGACCCCTCACTCAGCTTTGCTGTTCTTGGTTCTCAATGCATTTTTGTCTGCCCTCCGCTCCTGGCCAGACAGTTCAGCCCCCAGCAACTCCCGCAATCCTCAGAGCTTCTGGAAGCCATAGACTTGGCAGCACATGTTCCCGGTGGTCAGCTTTTCTTTGAGAACAGGGTCTCACTCTGTCACCCAGGCTGGAGTATAGTGGCGTGATGAAGGCTCACTACAGCCTTGACCTCCTGGACCCTGATGATCCTCCAAACTCAGCATCCCAAGTAGCTGGGACCACACATGTGAACCACCATGCCTAACTTTTTGAATCTTTTGTAAAGGCAGGGCAAAGTCTACTGTGCCTCTGAGAGAGGAAAGCATAGGAAGCCAGAGGTCCAGGCCTGTGGACACTAGCGGGAGGGGCCGACAGGGTGCCCAACAGTTGTTTCTGCAGCCCCCGTGTGCTCAGGGACTCTGTACAGGTGAACCTCCTAGAGACTGAGCCCAGGTGCCAGAAGACTCAGAAGCAAGGACATGTTTATTCAGATCCATGGTCGTTACAAGCTTCATTTTTGGTCACAGGCCCTAAAATGCCATTATGCTCAGTTTACATCAAAATACAAAGCCCAACATTTACAATTTCAAAAACATTAAAGCAAACCCCCAAAACCCCACACCGAAAACAAAGGCTTGGTTTGGAAATCACCACTGAGATGCTGTTCTCCCTCGCATGTCGCCTGTGGGGTGAATGAAGGTGAAGACCCCGTGCTGGTTTCTGTCAGAGAATCTGTAGTTGTATATTTTGAATACTTAAGTACCACTGAACGGTTGCCATGTCTTTGAGCACTTGATGTTACTGAAGTGACAATGCTTCTGACCATCTTTGGCTGCAGAGCAGAAACTGGCAGAATCCGACCCCATCGACCCAGCAGTGTCCCCAACGCCTGAGGACCAGCACCCATCTGTGACAAGGCACAGGGGTCCGCGATGTTGGCCACTGCTTTGGGTGATGTGCTCAATGGCTTGGGGTCTGCGGTGAAGCCCCTGGGCTCTGGGAGGGTCTTAGGCTCCTGAAACATGGAATTCTACGGCCCAGTCTTGGAACAGCTGGGAGAACATGAAGAACGCCCCTCACAGTGAAGAATCAGGACAGCCACTCTCTGGTTTTCTCACAACTCTAGAAACTTTGATTCTTTCCTGGAGTGGAGACTTAAGCCACTGTCCTGGTCCCACACAGAGAGAGGAAGCGCCACAACCCACTCTGCCAACCTCAAGGCCAGCCAGTGGGGAGGCCAGGCCCAGGTGGCTGTTGGCAGGCTGGCTCCCAAGCTTGGTGCAGCAGAGTAGCCAAATGGGCAGTGGAAAAAAGGCCCCGAGAGCTGGCTTGGCCGTGAGTCCTTGGCGGAGGGAGGGAAAGGCCGCCGCTGAGCTCTGCGCTGTCACAGAGCGTAGCTGTTGAGCCCTGGCAGCTACTCCTTTGCTGGGGCCCACCTGCCTTCCTTTCTTGGTTGCGTTTCCTCCAGATGCCTCTGCGGCTGCAGGAACCCCGCTCCAGAAGCCCGAGGATGACCGTGTTCCCTCCTGGAGGGGCTTCCCAGGTCCTCTCAGCCCAAGGGTGGGGCTGTGTGGCAAATCCCTCCAGCCTGCTCTGAAGGCAGCTGACACCTTCAGGGCTGGTGCAGCTTCCCCCGCTCGGTCAGCAGTGTCATGGCAGAGGCGTAGAGGACATAGCCCAGGGTGAGCAGCAGCGTGCATGGGAGGGGCCCGACGCAGAACAGAGAGGCCACGAAGAAGGCCAGCAGCAGCGAGACCAGCGTCCGGTAACTGCCCAGGAAGCGCAGGCTGAGCCTGGGGCCGCGGGTGTGGCCGGCCACCTGCCTCCGCCCCACAGGGCTCAGCAGGTGCCTGCTGGCCAGCCCAGGTTCTGTGAGGTGGTAGCGACAGAAGCTGCCGAGGAAGTCATCCCGGGAACACAGAGCCGCCATCTGTCCTGCAAACTGAAGCACAGACAGAGGCACGGGGATGTGGGGTGGTGGCACCACAGGCCTCAGGACAGCAGTACCCCACCCTCACAGGCCACCCCAGGACTGCACCCCAGGCAGGAGCATCTAGAACCCTCTCTGAAGACGCCAGGCCAGCCCTCCTGCCCACTCACTCTGTGGTTGATGGCAGACGACAGCCTAAAGAGTGTGCGGACCAAGCTGGCGATCTCATAGCTCCGGATGGGCTGCAGCTCCGGGTCCCCCTGGTACTCAATTTCAAACCTTCGCAGCCCATTGATGATCTAGAAAGCCAGGCCATGGGGATGGGTCAGAAAACACAGCCCCACACACAACTCAGAGGAGCCTGATGGCCTCTGCTCACAAGGGAGGAGGGAGCTGGGGACGGGTCAGGGCCCAGCCTGTGCGCCTCTGAGACACGGGCCTCTCACCTGGTACCGCCCCAGGGGCGTAAGGATGAGTCCGTCCTCACCCACGATGCAGTCGGGGAGTTGCTTTTTTCCATTCTCATCCTGGGTGGTGCCCAAGGCGAGTGTGAACTGCCTGAGCTGCGCTTCGCTGAGCTGCCAGAGAGAAATGCCACTGCCCTCAGCATCAAGATGAAGAGAGGGGACCAGTCTTCACCCCACCAGCCTACAACAGTGGCAACAAGGGGACCCAGCTATGACGCTCGGGGTGTGGGCCTGCCTCCCACAACACTGGGTCCATATGTGTGGGGCCTGGGACTGGTAGGTGGCTGACCACAGGCTGGGTGGAGTGGATCCTTCAGGGAAGGGGACCCTGATGGCGGTGGGGCAGGCCCCATAGCTCGTACCCGGAATATCTGGCGCAGGTACTCCAGGGCCTTCTCCAGGTATTCATCTGTCTTCCGGACACTGTCTTGCCCCATCTCGTCCAGGTCGTTGGCTGTGTAGGAGCCATTGGTGTCCATGGAGCTAAAGCCCAGCCATGAGAGGAAGGAGTGGCCAGCCGGGCTCTCCGCACACTGGTCGGAGATGGACTTGGCTGTGTGTTTGGCCTGTGTGATGAGCTGAGCGAGGCGCAGGACCTGCAAGGGAGGCGCGGGCAGGTCACCAGCAGGACAGGCCTGTGCTGCCACCCAGGCAGCCCCAAGAGCAATGCACAGCCAGACTGCTGAGCGTCAGGAGGAGTGGCTTCTGCCAGAAGACTTTTAAAGACTAAAGGATGATCTTCTACATTTGAAATTTCCCAAGAAACACTGCCTTCGTTATCAGGAAAAAATTAGACTTTACTAAAACGGGGGAAGGAGATATGGCGTCAAATCTATACCCAGCCTCCCTCCTTCCTGCTGGATCACAGCACTTCCCGGGTTCTGCTCAGCCCCATGGCTCCAGGGGCCCTGAGGACAGGCACCGCCGAACCACTCACCAGGGTGCGGGCCTCGGGCCCAAACATCGGGGTGTACTTGCAGTCCTGGCCCTCCAGGCTGTAGACGTGGCTCTTCACCTTGAAGGAGGCATCAGTGACCGCTGGTGGCCAGGGTGACAGGAAGCTCCCAGTGAATGTGGGGGCCGTGAAGAGTCGGTGCTGGCGGTGGGGGATGACCAGCTCTGGCTCCAGGAATAGCTGCTCACCTAGAAGGCAGGAGACGAACCTGGCACCCACTTCCCGGAGGCAGAGTACCCGACTGCTGCCCTTAGGATTCTGGGGTGTCTCTGAGGTGTCTGGGGAGCCATGACCCAGGGGTGTCCTCCTGAGGCCCTGCCTGGCAGCATCTCCCACACAGTAGGTGGCTGACATGGGGAGGGCGGATGGGGGAGCTGCTGGCTCACAGAGCCCCTAGCAGTGTCTGCAGGAGGTAAACAACAGGAGGATCGACAGAAACCAACGCCCAACCCAGCCAGGATGAATGCAAGGCAGAGACCAGGCTCACCTCCTGAAGCGGCCAACACGAGTTGCCAGGGAGAAACAGCGGGGTCACGGGGCCGCAGCTTGGACCGTGCCGGCCCGCTCTGTGGGCACACCTGCGATCCCCCACCCAGTGCCTGGTGGCTGCAGGGCAGGCAGGATCCAGCCGGTTTCAGACCTCACCACACAGACGTGTCCCAGGAGTCTCCACAGCACCCTTTGCCGGGGCCCACTCTGGGCGTGTGGGTCCCTCTTAAAGACCAGCCACCCCCAGCTAAGGGCCTGGCCCTGGTCTGGCTGGGTTGACGTATACCGGGCTGGCCCAGGCTGAGGACTTACCTTTCTGAATCATCTCAGCCAGGTTGGGCTGGGCAAAGACTTTGGCCACTCGGAACACCATGAGCGCGTGCTTGGGGCTGACCAGGTCTGTGCGGAGCGCGCGGTTCAGAAAGCCCACAAACAACTTGGTGTACATCAGCAGGTTCTCCTGGACAAAGGGTGCCCTGGGGACCGAGGTGGCAGGTTGGGGCCAGCCTTCCAACTGGAAGCATGCCCCTAATGCCCGGTCCGTGCCCCTAATGCCCTTGCTCACCCTTGGGCTTTCAGACTCTCCTTAGCCAAGGTGACAAGCTGTCACAGATGACAGCTCAGGGGGCCACGGGCAGGCAGGGAGGACAGGACAGAGGCAGGTAAGACCCAGGCCCTCTGAGGATGCCACATCCTTAGCAAGGCTGAGGCCCCTTTCCAAGTGGATGGAGGCCACCATGGCAGAGGCCAGCCCAGAGCCTGAGGGGGCTCAGGGAGGATCCCCCAGAGGGTCCAAAGGGGAATGCCTTGGGCAAGGAGGGGAGGGATCAGTGGCCATGCCAGGTGCCACGGAAGCCTGGGGGTCCGCTGTGAGGATCAAGCAGGGGATGAGGGGAAGACAGCCTCCCTCATCCCCTGCTTGATCACCGCTGCTCTGTTCTGTGCTGATGAAGGTCAAGGGATAGTTTGGGGGTGGCTAAACACTCATCTGGGACAGAAGGGAGAGGGGACAGGGCAGGATGGGTCACCCACAGCTTCCATAAGAAACCAATTCTAGGGCCTGGCAAAGTTGAGCCTAGGAAAAGGCTGGTCTGTGTTCCGCTCGGCAGGGGCTGGGAGAGGACTTCAGGAGGCCACGGGGGCCAGGGCCAGGCTGACCCCAGCACAGGCCGCTGGCTTGGCCTCCACCCACTGGAACAATATCCACCTGGGGGAGCCAGTGGCATGTCTGTGAGAGGAGCTGAGGCTCACCATTTCTCCGACACACACCGGGGCTGGGAGTCGCTGCCCGGAGCCTGCTTGTCAGGCGCGTACCGCCACGGCTGCAGGTAGCTCAGCCACATCTCCAGGACCTGTGGGGGAGGTGTGTGCTAAGGGCTCCGTGGCTGGGGGCCAAATACTCGGTGGCCTGGAGCCCAGATACCAGGCGGCAGCTGGGTGGGACTGACTCTTCTCACTTCCTCCAGAGGGCGCAGGAGAGACATGCACAGCCCTGTGAGGTTTGGCTCTTGCTGGCCCTCCAGAAGCCAGGGTGGGCTTTTCCCAGCCCAGGGGGCAGAGTACTCCCTGGTCAGGTAAGGGTAGGAACCTGCCCTGCACCAGACAGGTGGGACAGGGCAGGGCTTTCCTGAGGGCTGGCTTTGGAAACTCAAACAGAAAGAACAATGTGGCCCTCCAAGACCCCCTCCTTGCCAAGGCCTCTGTGATAACACTTGCTCTCCTCCTTTATCTGCCCCAAAGGACCTCCCACCTCAAGGCACACAGAGGACACAGGCACACGTGTGACGGGGCCAACACTCACAGCTCTGAACGATGCGTCCAGGGGCCAGTGGCCAAAGCAATGCTGCAAGAAGAGGTAGAGTTTCTGCTGGACGAACCTCGGGACAGCAGCCCTGCAGGGGATGGGGAGGGTCACCTGCTGCTTGCCCAGTAAGGAGGCCCTGCTCACAGATGACCCCAGGGCTCCCATCAGTGAGGGTTGGCTCCGCCGGGGGAGAGCACTGGGCACCTCCGGGAGGTTCAGCCCCATTCTTCAGAGGAAGAAATCAAGGTTCAGAGAGGTTAGGGAACATCCCAAGGACACACAGCACGCAGGCGGCCGAGTCAGCACAACTCCTGCACACACCTCACCCTCCGTCCCATACAAACAGCCCACTCTGCTGGCCCTGGTGGGCCTGGCAGTCAGGGCCACCCCAACTCTTCTGACAGGGTTGAAGAATATGAGATGCAAGAGATGGCAGCACAATGGGGCCTCTCTGGCCAGTCTGGAGAGAGAGGCTCTGGGAGCCAACTGGGCGGGGTGAGAGGACACCTGCCTAGGCCTGGAGAGGCCTCACGTGCTCTGTGAACAGAAAGGGACTCCCCTCACCCTGCCCTCCATGCCCTGGGG